>NC_000010.11:6373636-6525151 GCF_000001405.40 Homo sapiens
TATATTTAAAGTTAATATTGTTATGTGTGAATTTGATCCTGTCATTATGATGTTAGCTGGTGATTTTGCTCGTTAGTTGATGCAGTTTCTTCCTAGTCTCGATGGTCTTTACATTTTGGCATGATTTTGCAGCAGCTGGTACCGGTTGTTCCTTTCCATGTTTAGCGCTTCCTTCAGGAGCTCTTTTAGGGCAGGCCTGGTGGTGACAAAATCTCTCAGCATTTGCTTGTCTATAAAGTATTTTATTTCTCCTTCACTTATGAAGCTTAGTTTGGCTGGATATGAAATTCTGGGTTGAAAATTCTTTTCTTTAAGAATGTTGAATATTGGCCCCCACTCTCTTCTTGCTTGTAGGGTTTCTGCCGAGAGATCCGCTGTTAGTCTGATGGGCTTTCCTTTGAGGGTAACCCGACCTTTCTCTCTGGCTGCCCTTAACATTTTTTCCTTCATTTCAACTTTGGTGAATCTGACAATTATGTGTCTTGGAGTTGCTCTTCTTGAGGAGTATCTTTGTGGCGTTCTCTGTATTTCCTGAATCTGAACGTTGGCCTGCCTTGCTAGATTGGGGAAGTTCTCCTGGATAATATCCTGCAGAGTGTTTTCCAACTTGGTTCCATTCTCCACATCACTTTCAGGTACACCAATCAGACGTAGATTTGGTCTTTTCACATAGTCCCATATTTCTTGGAGGCTTTGCTCATTTCTTTTTATTCTTTTTTCTCTAAACTTCCCTTCTCACTTCATTTCATTCATTTCATCTTCCATTGCTGATACCCTTTCTTCCAGTTGATCGCATCGGCTCCTGAGGCTTCTGGATTCTTCACGTAGTTCTCGAGCCTTGGTTTTCAGCTCCATCAGCTCCTTTAAGCACTTCTCTGTATTGGTTATTCTAGTTATACATTCTTCTAAATTTTTTTCAAAGTTTTCAACTTCTTTGCCTTTGGTTTGAATGTCCTCCCGTAGCTCAGAGTAATTTGATCGTCTGAAGCCTTCTTCTCTCAGCTGGTCAAAATCATTCTCCATCCAGCTTTGTTCTGTTGCTGGTGAGGAACTGCGTTCCTTTGGAGGAGGAGAGGCGCTCTGCGTTTTAGAGTTTCCAGTTTTTCTGTTCTGTTTTTTCCCCATCTTTGTGGTTTTATCTACTTTTGGTCTTTGATGATGGTGATGTACAGATGGGTTTTCGGTGTAGATGTCCTTTCTGGTTGTTAGTTTTCCTTCTAACAGACAGGACCCTCAGCTGCAGGTCTGTTGGAATACCCTGCCGTGTGAGGTGTCAGTGTGCCCCTGCTGGGGGGTGCCTCCCAGTTAGGCTGCTCGGGGGTCAGGGGTCAGGGACCCACTTGAGGATGCAGTCTGCCCGTTCTCAGATCTCCAGCTGAGTGCTGGGAGAACCACTGCTCTCTTCAAAGCTGTCAGACAGGGACACTTAAGTCTGCAGAGGTTACTGCTGCCTTTTTGTTTGTCTGTGCCCTGCCCCCAGAGGTGGAACCTACAGAGGCAGGCAGGCCTCCTTGAGCTGTGGTGGGCTCCACCCAGTTCGAGCTTCCCGGCTGCTTTGTTTACCTAAGCAAGCCTGGGCAATGGCGGGCGCCCCTCCCCCAGCCTCGTTGCCGCCTTGCAGTTTGATCTCAGACTGCTGTGCTAGCAATCAGCGAGATTCCGTGGGCATAGGACCCTCTGAGCCAGGTGTGGGATATAGTCTCGTGGTGCGCCGTTTCTTAAGCCGGTCTGAAAAGCGCAATATTCGGGTGGGAGTGACCCGATTTTCCAGGTGCGTCCGTCACCCCTTTCTTTGACTCGGAAAGGGAACTCCCTGACCCCTTGCGCTTCCCAGGTGAGGCAATGCCTCGCCCTGCTTCGGCTCGCGCACGGTGCGCACACACACTGGCCTGCGCCCACTGTCTGGCACTCCCTAGTGAGATGAACCCGGTACCTCAGATGGAAATGCAGAAATCACCCGTCTTCTGCGTCGCTCACGCTGGGAGCTGTAGACCGGAGCTGTTCCTATTCGGCCATCTTGGCTCCTCCCCCCAGCAAATCATTTTCCTGAAAGAGACTTCTTCAGGAGATAGATTCTCTTGTTATTGTACTGTCTCAGTTATCTATTGCTGTAAAATAAATCGTCCCAAAGCTTAGTGGCTTAAAAACAACTCTTTATTACCTAACACAAGTCTATAGCTGGCTGTGTTTAGCTGGTATATTCTTCTGCTCCACGTGGGCTCACCTGCACTGGAACATCCAGGAAGGCTGACTCACATGGCTGCACAGTAGCTGTCAGCCAAGAACCTCACCGTTGTGTCAAATGTCTTAGTTCTCATCCACAGTGCATCTCTGGGGGCTTCTCACAGTGTATTCACTGGGTCCCTCCAGGGAGTGTTCTAAGAGACAGAAGCCTCAGATCTCTTAAAGCCCAACCGTGTGGGTGACACAGCATCAATGGCTGCCATAGTCTACTGATCAAAAGTAGTCACAGGCCAACCCAGATTTAAGGGGATGGGAGACAGACCCTATCTCTGAGTGGAAGAAGTGGTAACACTGCATGGCCGTTTTTAACCAGCCACAGTTCTTGATGACAATTTCCTAATGGAAAAGATCTTTCTTCTACAGGACTCTAGAATAGCGTTTCTCAGGTGTTAATGTGCAAAGAATCATCCCGTGATCCTGTTAAAATGTAGGTTCTGATTCAGTAGGTCTGGGGTGAGGCTTGAGAACCTGCGTTTCTAACAAGCTCCCAGGGATGCAGCAGGCACCTGCAGAGCTGTTAAAACAGATTCCTCCCACTCCTTTCCTCTGCTCTAGAAAAATCCTCCAAATCCTGAAAACATCTGGAGAGAAGCAGAAGGAGATGGTAGAAGCTGAGGCCCCACAGTGGAGCAACTTTGATTTCCATTGATTTTACGAAGACACTACCACAAAGAAATGGCAAAATCAATGTTGGCCATTTATGCAGATAAAATATAACTGTCAGGTGGAAAATAAAACCTAGGCAAACACTAAGTGTATCCCCTGAACCATCTTAAATGTGGTTTGTGTACTCATGTGGTTGAGTCCTCATGGATGAACTGCAACCTAGCTTAACAGTCAGAAAAGATGGAAAACAGTCAGAAAAAAATGGAAAAAGTGTACACCTGACATTGGCAAACTTTTAACAGTGAGCCTTATGGTCTTCACCAATTTCAGGTGCTCCATTCCCCAACCCTACCCCACTTCTTCAAGTCAGTTCAGTAAATAGTTACTGATCCCTTATTCAGCAGAAAGCACTGTATCGGATACTGTAGGTGCAGAGAGAAGACAGCCCAGCATTCTTTCCCTACAGAACATTATACTTTGGTAGGGAGACAAGTGACATACATAAGCCTCCATCAGTTCATTAAGTGTTTATTATTGCAACGAAACACATATGACTTTTGGGGAATTTGATGATGGACAGGATCAGGGAATGGGAGTTGTGAAAGTTCTTAATTTATTTATATATTTATTTATTTATTTAGAGACAGGGTCTTGCCCTGTGCCCAGGCTGGAGTGCAGTGGTGTGATCATAGCTCACTGCAGCCTCGACTTCCCAGGCTCAAGCAATCTTCCCACTTCTGCCTCCTGAGTAGCTGGGCCTACAAGCATGTGCCACCACACCCAGCTAATTTTTAAATGTTCTGTAGAGTTGGAGTCTTGCTATTTTGCCCAGCTGCCCTTCTGGGCTCAAGTGATCCTCTTGCCTTGGGCTCCCAAAGTACTGGCATTAGAGGCATGAGTCACTGCACCTGGCCAAATGTTTTTTTTTTAATTGATGCATAATAGATGTATGTAGTTTTGGGGTACATGTGACAATTTAATACATTCATATAATTTGTAAAGATCAAATCAGTGTACTTGAGATATCCATCACCTTAGATATTTGTCTTTTATGTTAGAAACATTTGAATTCTTCTCTTCTATTTTGAAACACACAACAGATTATTGTAAACTGTGTCACCCTACCGACCTATCTAACACTAGGTCTCGTTTCTCTTAACAAACTGTATATTTGTACCCATTAATCATCTTTTCTTCACCCGCTTTTCCCCCTACCCTTCCTTAGCTGGGTAACCACCAATCTACTTTGTATCTTCATGAGATCTCCTTTATAGCTCTCACTTATGAATGAAAACATGCAGTATTTGAAGAGTCACGTTAGAAGAGGTTTAGAGGCTGTGTAGGAGTTCTCCAGGAGAAGGTGGAGGATGGAAGAAGGGAATTACAGTAGGCAGAGAAAACCTGAGTGAGAAAGTAAAAGCCTGGGTCAGGAGGACAATGAATGGCCCAGGAGGGTAGGCCCCGTGCTGGGGCTGGTGGGAGATGTGTGCGGAAACTGCAGGGCTTTGCCTGCCAGGCTAAGGAGTTTTCCTTTCATCTGGAAGATGATGGGAGAACTATCAAAGGGGTCAGAGAAAGGATGCTGACAGTCTCCTCTGCCCCACTGAGTTAAGCAGCCTAGTTTGTTCTGCTCATGCTGATAGCCAGCTTGCTCCCCCTCTCGCAGCTCCTCTCCCACTGCTGCCCCCATCCATCTACTGAAGACCTCGGGTATTAGTCCATTCTCACACTGCCATAAAGATACTACCTGAGACTTGGTAATTTATAAACAAAAGAGGTTTAATTGACTCACAGTTCTATATAGCTAGGGAGGCCTTAGGAAACTTACAATCACGGCCGAAGGTGAAGGGGAAGCAAGGCATGTCTTACATGGTGGCGGGAGAGAGAGAGAGAGTGAAGGGGGAACTGCCACTTTTAAACTATCAGCTCTTATGAAAACTGACTCACTATTACTAGAACAGCATGGGGGAAACCATCCCCATGATCCAATCTCCTCCTACCATGTCTCTCCCTCAATACCAGGGGATTAAAATTCGAGATAAGATTTGGGTGGAACAAAGAGCCAAACCATATCACCTTGCTAGTCTTTAGATACCAATTGGGCTTCCCCAGGCAGCTCAGCAACTGTAGTGCTTTCCTCCTCTGAATCCATAGAGGTTTTTTTAAATTTTTTTTTATTTTATTTTTTTAATTTGAAACTTCTATGGCTTTACTTATGTTATTCTTTCTGGGTTTTTTTTTGTTCCTCTTTTGCTGCCTGGTAGAAGGCTACTCAACTTGAAATGTGCCACCAAGATGCCATCTCTTATGTAAAGCCTTATCCCACCACCTAAAAGCAGAAAAATGTGCTCTCTGCTACAGCAATTCAATCACTCTAATGTTACAGACAGATGTGTGCTGGTAAAAAACCACCATCTCAAAAAAGAAATGAAGAAAAAGCCAACAAAACCCAACCCAAACCAACACCACCAAAATCCTGATTTGTGGTGTTTGCCAATTTCTGTAGTATAAATACTCCCACCATGGCTGCTTTCAAGCTACCAACTTGAGATTTCTGAACTTGCAGCTGGGAAGAGATATGTAATGTCAGTTCTCAAGAGTTGATTCAGGCCAGGCATGGTGCTACACACCTGTATTTCCAGCTACTTGGGAGGCTGAGGTGGGAGAATCACTTGAGCCTGAGAGTAAGCCATGATTGCACAACTGCATTCCATCCTGGGGAAAAAAAAGAGTTGGTACAAGCTGGCTCTAGCACATCACTGGACTTTATAGACCTGGCCTCACTGTGGTTCATTGTTCACATAGACTACAAGTATTTAGGAGAGAGAGACAGTGGGCCTGTCTTATTCATCTTTGTTGACTAGTGCATGTTCCAGTCTGGCATACAGCAAACACTCAATGTATATTTCTTCCCCAGGTATTTATTATTTGAATGAGTGGGTGGTTACCATGTGTATTAGTCCATTTTCATGCTGCTTATAAAGACGTACCTGTGACTGGGAAGAAAAAGGTTCAATGGACTTATAGTTCCACATGGCTGGGGAGTCCTCACAATCATGGCAGAAGGCAAGGAGGAGCAAGTCACATCTTACAAGGATGGCAGCAGGCAAAGAGAGAGAGCTTGTGCAGGGAAACTCCTCTTTATAAAACTATCAGATCTCATGAGACTTATTCACTATCATGAGAACAGCACAAGAAAGATCTGCCCCTGTGACTCAATTATCTCCCACCAGGCCCCTCTCACAACATGTGAGAATTCAAGATGAGATTTGGGTGGGGACACAGCCAAACCATATCATTCTGCCACTGGCCCCCTGCAAATTTCATGTCCTCACATTTCAAAACCAATCTTGCCTTCCCAGCAGTCCCCCAAAGCCTTAACTCATGTCAGCATTAACTCAAAAGTCCACAGTTGAAAATTTCATCTGAGACAAGGCAAGTCCTTCTGCATATGAGCCTGTAAAATCAAAAGCAAGTTAGTAACTTCCTAGATACAAAGGAGGTACAGGCATTGGGTAAATACAGCCATTCAAAATGGGAGAAATTGGCCTAAACAAAGGGGCTACAGGCCCCATGCAAGTCTGAAACCCAGCGGGGTAGTCAATTCTTAAAACTCTAAAATGATCTCCTTTGACTCCATGTCTCACATCCAGGTCATGTTGATGCAAAAGGTGGGCTTCCATGGTCTTAGGCAGCTCCATCTCCATAGCTTTGCAGAGTACAGCCTCCCTCCTGGCTGCTTTCATGTGCTGGTGTTGAGTGTCTGTGGCTTTTCAAGGCACATGGTGCAAGCTGTTGGTGGATCTACCATTCTGGGGTCTGGAGGACAGTGGCCTTCTCACAGCTCCACTAGGCAGTGCCCCAGTAGGGACTCTGTGTGGAGACTCTGACCCCACATTTCCCTTCTGCACTGCCCTAGCAGAGGTTTTCAATGAGGGCCCCACCCCTGCAGCAAACTTCTGCTTGGGCATCCAGGCATTTCCATACATCCTCTGAAATCTAGGTAGAGTCGACTTAATTCTTGACTTCTGTGCACCTGCAGGCTCAACACCACGTGGAAGCTGCCAAGGCTTGGGGCTTCCACCCTCTGAAACAACAGCCTGAGCTGTACCTTGGCCCCTTTTAGTTATGGGTGGAGTGGCTGGGACTCAGGGCACCAAGTTCCTAGACTGCGCACAGCAGAGAGACCCTGGGCCTAGCCCACGAAACCATTTTTTCCTCCTAAACCTCCAGGCCTGTGATGGGAGGGGCTGCCGCAAAGGTCTCTGACATGCCCTGGAGACATTTTCCCCATTGTCCTGGTGATTAACATTCAGATCTTCATTACTAATGCAAATTTCTGCAGCCAGCTTTAATTTCTCCTCAGAGAATGGGATTTTTGTTTCTATCACATTGTCAGCCTGAAAATTTTACAAACTTTAATGATCTGTTTCCCTTTTAAAATTGAATGCCTTTAACAGCATCCAAGTCACCTCTTGAATGCTTTGCTGCCTAGAAATAGAAATCTTCCACCAGATACCCTAAATCATCTCTCTCAAGTTCAAAGTTCCACAAATCTCTAGGGCTGGGGCAAAATGCTGTCAGTCTCTTTGCTAAAACGTAACAAGAGTTACCTTTGTTCCAATTCCCAACAAGTTCCTCATCTCCATCTGAGACCACCTCAGCCTGGATTTCACTGTCCATATCATTATCAGCATTTTGGTAAAAGCCATTCAGCAAGTCTCTAGGAAGTTCCAAACTGTCCCACATTTTTCTGTCTTCCTCTGAGTCCTCCAAACTGTTCCAACCTCTGCCTGTTACCCAGTTCCACATTTTTGTGTATCTTTTCAGCAGTGCCCCACTCTACTGGTACCAATTTACTGCATTAGTCTGTTTTCATGCTACTGATAAAGCCATATCTGAGACTGGGGAAAAAAAAGAGGTTTAATGGACTTATAGTTCCACATGGCTGGAGAGGCCTCACAATCGTGGCAGAAGGCAAGGAGGAGCAAGTCACATCTTACATGGATGGTGGCAGGCAAACAGAGAGAGATTGTGCAGGAACATGCCTCTTTATAAAACCATCAGATCTCATGAGACTAATTCACCATCACAAGAACAGCACGGGAAAGACCCGCCCCCATAACTCAGTTACCTCCCACCAGGTCCCTCCCACAACACGTGGGAATTCAAGATGAGATTTGGGTGGGGACACAGCCAAACCATATCACCATGTCTCTCCATGGACTGACTTGATGGACAATTCTTTGGAGGTGGATAACTGTGATTGTCCTGTAAACCATAAAGCAGAGAGGGCACCCCAAGGAAAGCCATGTTACCCAAGTAGATGCTGGACAAGTGTTAAATACATAGCTGCCTTCATTGTGGAAACAGGGGCAGGGATCTGAGGACTTCTATATCAAGACCTTTCCACTCCTCCACTAGTTTACTTCTCTGGGTCTACTGTCGACATTCATCTAAAATGCAACTCCAACAGAAATTGTGGGACAGGGATGTCCCATTCACCTGGAGAAAGGCTATACAAGGCAATACAATGGCCATTGCAGCAAAAAAATCAGGTGTCTAGAAACATATTAAGCCAGAATTAAGCTGTAGCTCTCTGCATAGTTTATGAGACACTTCTCTGAAGTGCAGCTGAAAATGATGGGTGTGTGTGTGTTTTAAATCTGAAGGCCCTCGGGAATGGCATGTACACAAATGTCAGTGTTTGTGGGCATGAAAGGGAAGGAAACCAGACATGGGGCTGGCGGAGAAGACTTAACAGCTGCAGCTGGCATGCTTTTGCTTTGTCTTTGATTCTTTCGATTCCTGTTTGGCTTTGGTCCCATGTTTTGGGCTGTGACTAAGCTTTCGTGTCTTTGGGGGCTAAGTAGACATCAAAACAAGAAACGCCACTCACTGTGCAAATGGATTTGCCCGAAATGCTGCTGAAGAAGACAGGTTGGCATCGGGCTGGTGCTTTTCTGCTTCTACTTAAATAGGAGAGGATTTGGTCAAACTTGGTCCTTGGGACAAGGAGCTGTTTTGGACAAACGGTTTACGGAAGGTGAGGCTGGGTATTTTAAGAAGGGAGGTGAGAAGTGAGAGACCTGGAATCTGGTCCTTGTAATCGGTCATCTTGCAACATGGACTTGACTGTTGTGGAAATGGTCTACACCTCAGTTTCCTTTTTACCACAAGCTCTTCCCTCCATCTCTGTCGACACATTTCCCTCCTCTTGCTCCAGCCTCTGCTTATTTCAGGGGCTCAGTTTTCTCAAGATGGCCCCATGAAACTTCCTTGCCACAGAATGCTTCTCTGGATGCTATATCAATCGATTACATGTTAGTATGAATTTAGCTAATACACTACCTCCACATGTGACTGTACACTCAAAGTATCCCAGCAGAGGCACTCTCCCAGGTGCAACAAGATGAAACAGTCAGTTTCGGGGTCTCTTATCATGTCCCTATATAAACACAGGTGTGGGAGGGAAATATTTTGAGATGACTGCATGGAACTCTGTATTCCTTTTCCATATAATGAGTATATTATTCTCCAGCGTCTCTCCATTGCTCAAAACCACGAATATCTCCTCTCTTGAAAAAGTGACAGTGTGAGGACTGGGAAGCTGAAATTTTAGCTCAGAAGTCTACAACTAGAACCAAGTTTCTAAAAATGTGCTGTGTTATATAATCCAGGAGGAGGCAATGGAAAAGTACCAGCTGGTGTGGGACTGGAGGCTTTCCTGCCTCTGACTCACTCAGGCAAAAGGTCTTGAATTAAGATGCTTCTCAGAAAATCCAAACAAAACCCATTCATTCTCCAAGGCTTCGCATTCGTTGTGGGAGTCAAAATGTAACCATGGGACTGAGATTGCCTGGGCACATTTGGGAAAGTTCACAAAGTTTGTTCTTGTGTCCCTCGAGGCCAGCTTCCAGGGCCTCCCCACTCCTTTCCAGATGCCCGATGCCATCCTGCCGTATCTATGGCACCACAGACAGCCCTATCGGGAAGATGGCCCAAATGGCTTTCCCCATCAAAACTTGACTTCTCTGTCCTGTGGCCTCAGGCCCTGCTCTGGGTTGTCCTTAACTAAACAGTTAGATGGATCCTTGCTGTGGTGTTAGCTAACTGAATAGAGCACCTTTGAAAAAATAACATAATAGGCTGACCACGGTGGCTCATGCCTGTAATCCTGGCACCTTGGGAGGCTGATGGGGGAGGGTTGCTTGAGTCCAGGAGTTTAAGACTAGCCTAGGTAACATAGCAAGCCGTTGTCTCTACAAAAAATGTAAAAATTAGTCAGGTGTGGTGGTGCCTGCCTGTGGTCCCAGCTACTTGGGAGGCTGAGGTGGGAGGCTTAAGGGGGTTGAGGCTACCTTGAGCTGTGTTTGCACCACTGCACTCCAGCCTGGGTGACAGAGTGAGACCCTGCCTCAAAAACAAAACAAAACAAAAACAAAACATAATGTCTTAACTCAAAAGAGAGCATGGCTACTTGTGCAGTGACAAAAGTGGCTGGCATATCAGGAATGATGACTCTGGCCTAGGAAGATGTTTGGGACCTGTGGAGCCTTTGGATGTGGAGTCCCTCAGATCACACTAGAATCTGGCTGCCTTCTCCACGAAGAGATTTCTGTGTGGAAGGTCCAGGCATCTGTGTTTTGCAGCTCCCCAGAAGGTTTTGAGGCCTGTGGGAAATGATGGGGGACTGCAGCACTTGTATGCTGTGATGTCGGAAGAATAACAGCCAGCGGCTCAGCAGCATTAAGGCTTTGTGGACTGTTCCTAGGCTTTTTCCGTCTCTCCTTTTTTTTTTTTTTTTTTTTTTTTGCCACAGTTGACATCTGTACGCCCCACGTCACGTGAGGTTAGTGTCTGAGCAGGGACTACAAGGAGCCAACAATCCTGACTTCTGGTCTACCTTTCCCCCAAGTACCCACAGCCTCCCTAATATCCAAATCCTCATGTAACTTTATGCAATGAAACATATCAAACTTTACATAGCATTGCCCAGCCTGTGCACGTTGAGGTATTTCAAAGCAAAAAGCATTATAAAGTCTTTGTGAACCTCTCCCCACAAGCATGTAAAGCTTTGGGAACAGGCCAGGAACCACCTGCCTTGGCATACCATAGTGCTGTGACCATTGCAATTATATTTTCCAGATACAATTCTTGGGGCATGCAGTCTGAGAATGCTTTGCCTCTGAATGGAGCACATGGTTTTTGGATAGGGAAATGTTGGCCTACAGATGTATGAAGGCTATGGTGTTGGTGGGGGTGCCGTAATAGGATAACTTGAGTCTGAATGTGTGAAGTGATGTTTCGACTAGAGCTGATTTTGGAAGTGGTTGTAGCTGGCACTGGGAGATGAGGAGGCATGATGAGGGTGAGAATAATTCAATGTGAATTTTCAAGAGTTAGGCTCTTGAACTGTAAGAATGTAAACCTCAGGTCACTTTACTAAGAGGGGTTATATTGGGCCAAATGTCTGCATCTGCCTCCCACATTCATTCACCTGGCCCCACCTGCCTGCCCCCAGGTGCCCTGTATCTGGCTCAGGGCTGAGAACCACAGCAGCCTGGCACCTACTCCCTAGTCCTGGCCTTGTGGTCTCATGTGGTCTGGGCTGCTCCCACCACATCCCGACTCAGGTGAAGTGTGGATCTGAGCGCACAGCTGCAAAGTACAGGGCCTGGGGCCTTGACCAGGAAGTGCAGGTGAGTTCACGTACCTGTACAGGGTGAAGACAGCCTGAAGGAGGTGTGGGCAGGAGGGGGCTTCATGCCCCACACAAGGAGGTTTGACCATTGAGACAGGAGGTGGTGGCAGTTGTGAATTTTTCTCCCTTCCCTGCCCACCTCCCTCCTCCTCCCACTCACACTCACATTGCTCCAGGTATGGTGATGCCTTTGGCCTGCCCCTGAACGTCCCATATACCTGGACAGCCAGCTGTGTCTTCTGAGGCCATGAGCAGCTGGCAGCACATCCCTTGCATCTGCTTTCCCCACTCCCGCTTTGCTTCCTGCCCTCACTCTTGCTGCCCCGGGATTGCACCCATCTCCTCACAAAGCAGGAGCTGCGAAGATTTGCCTCAGGCTTTGTTCTCAAGGGAGGACAGGTCATTAGGGGCTGGTTGTAAAGCTGCACATAGAAAGCTATGCACATGCTTCACCTGGTTTCTTTTGACGTGGTCATAGGAGATTTAAATACCTTGGTTTTCCTTATCATGGAGGTATCTGTTTTTATGTGTTTGCTTTGGCCTCCTTTTCTTCTCAATTCACCAATTTATTTCCATATTTTTAATGCCAAGCCTCATAAGGAGTCCAGTGAATTGTCATATCCAATGAAGGTTGCAGTTGCTGGGCAAATATTTTGTGTTGCGTAAGGTCGATTCATGGGTAGCTGACCAGCTTACTGATGAGCAATCCTTGGATTCATGGCCCTTTCAGGAGCAAGAGCAGCTGGCCCTATGTCTGTAAGTTAGAGTCTGTTGGTGGGCAGGGCCAGCTGGGTATGGCGTGGTCAGTAGAAGTTGCAGCAGGATGAAGAAGGTGAGTTTTCAGCTCCTGTGGACTGGCTATCTGGCTGGCAATGTTTGTCCTGGGCTACTTAGGACTCCCACATAAGTTCCCTCCTGGCTGTCGTCCTGTATGTAGCTCAGCCTCCATTCCCAGGCATCATTTAGGCCCTTGGACAGGGATCAGTAAAGTTGTTCACTAAGCGATGGCTAAGGTGTGCTGTTGTGCAGAAGACAGTATAAACGCAGGTGAGAATTCCATCTGTTCTATTTCTCAGGGGCATAGTAGCAAGTCAAGGGACAGCTTGCACTCTCTGAAGAACTAATCAAGATGTTGTAAGGAAGATGTGACCTGGAGGTCATTTTGGGGAGTTTCGTGGCTGGTGAGTGAGAAGTGATCCCAGAACGAGGAGACAAAACAGAAAAGACAAACTGGAAAAAGTCAAGCATCAGCAGGTTGAACAGGGAAGGATGACACAAAGAGGAAGCGAAGGCCAAGGGAGCTGGTCAGCTCAGAGCCCCGTGGCTGCCTTGGCCCCAGGTTCTCCATGCTCATCAGTGTCAGCCTGGTGCTGGTCTCACAGGGCTTAGTGCTGAGCCAGACAGCCATGGTCCCTCCTGAGGGCTGAAGTGGGGTCTTAGCCCTGGGCCTTCCCCTTCCTCACCCAGCCTCCACTGCTGCTGCGTTGCCCGGGCCTGGGGTAGGAGGTGTGCATGGTGAGGAGGCTCAGGCTGCCTAAACTGAGTGCCTGCCATGTGCCGGCCACTGCTGGATGTGGACACTGCAGAGTCCACTGTGGGGCTCCCTCTCTGCTAAGGAAAATGTAGACAAGACCCGGCAGTGTGGCATGGCCACGTGTGCACGCACATACAGATACACACACACATAGACACATATATACACACAGAAACGTATATACACCCACATACAGGCACATACACAGTTACACATACACATACAGACACACACATACACAGACACACATATAGACATACAGATGCACATATACACACAGACACATTTGCACACACAAACACACACATACACACAGTTACACACACGTACACATATAGACACACACATACACAGACATATACGCATGTGTACTATCCAGACACACACATACACATATGCACACGTACACACATATACATACACACATATACACATACACACGTGTACACATGCAGACACACAGACACATATACACACATACCAACACACACATACACACATGCACACATATATGCACACACATATAGACACACACAGCCACACATACACATACACATAGATACAGACACACATACAGACTCATACGCAAAAAAATACATAGTCACACACACATGCACACATATAAACACACCTACACACACAGACACATACCCAGACATACATATACACACACAAGGGAAAGACAAAAGGGATTAAAGAATTAGGGATTTAGGGAAACAGAAGCTTTGATAGTCTGTATCAAAAATGTTTGGCTGGGCGTGGCGGCTCAAGCCTGTAATCCCAGCACTTTGGGAGGCCAAGGCAGGCAGATCACCAAAGGTCAGGAGTTTGAGTCCAGCCTGGACAACATGGTGAAACCCTGTCTCTACTAAAATTACAAAAATTAGCTGGGCAGGTGTGCACCTGTAATCCCAGCTACTCAGGAGGCTGAGAAAGGAGAATCACTTGAACCTGAGAGGCAGAGGTTGCAGTGAGCTGAGATCACGCCACTGCACTCCAGCCTGGGTGATAGAGCCAGACTCCATCTCAAAAAAAAGAAAAAAAAAAAAAAAAAAGAAAAACAACTCAGGTCTTTTATCTTTGAAAGAAATGAAAAAGCAATTTAGATTGGACAAAAGAATCACATCTGAAATGCGTGAAAGAATCACATCTGGACTAGGTGTGGAAGTCTCTTCTAAGTTTAAATTTTTATCAAAGGTATACATGTCCACATGTAAAGAGTCGCCTAGCTTTACAAGGGTCAGGATAGAAAACAGTGTTTCCTCCCCCTCCCCACTTCTCCTACCCTCCTCGAAGGGTAACCACCTTTACTGTTCTTACTTTTATTGCTACCTCTCCATTTTATGTTTAGTCTTTGACACCCTTCTTTGACTTCCCTCCATGGAAATGAAGGCTTCCCTTTTCCCCCACTACCTTCTCACCATGCACTCACAACTTTCCCATCTCTTATTCCCCCGAGTTTCGGTCAGATTAATTTTTAACATTTACTTTGGGAGGACTATAGGAAGGCCATTCAAAGCTGAGTCATGTAGTCTACTGTGTTGGTTATTGATTTCTGTGTAACAAATTACCCCATAATTTAGCCACTTAAGGCAATAAGCATTTATTATCTCAAGGTTCTGGCCAGGAGACTAGGTGTGGCTTAGCCGGGGTCTCTGGCCCAGGGTCTGTTGCAAGGCTGCTGTGAAGGCTGCTGGCCAGGGCTGCCATGTCCCCAGGATCAGCAGTGGGAGGCTCCCTTTCCAAGCTAACTCATGTAGGGTTTGCAGGTCGTGAGTCCTTGCTGGCTGTTGGCCAGAGATACCACCAACTCCTGACTGCTCAGGTCTTTCCATCAGTAGCCCACAGTGTGGCAGCTGGCTCCCCTCAGAGCTAGAAGAAAAACAAGAAGAGAACAAGATGGAAGCAGGTCTTTTTGCCACCTAATCTCAGAAGTGAGACTCCATCACCTTTACTGTATTCTATTCACTAGACACGACTCATTAGGTCCAACCCACACTTAAGCCTAGAAGGTTTGCATTAGTTATCTATTGAGCATAACAATATTACCAAAAACTTAGCAGCTTAAAACCACACACATTGATTATTTCATGGTTTCTGTGGGTTGTTGAGTTGGGCCATTGCTGAGCTGTGCCTTCTGTTCAGGGTCTCGCAAAGCTGCAGTGAAGGTGTTGGCCACGGCTGTATTCTCATCTGAGGCTTGCCCGGGGAAGAGTCCATGTCCAAGCTCATGCAGGTTGCTGGCAGAATGCAGCTCCCTGTGGTTGTGTGACTGAGCACTTTGGTTTCTTGCTAGCTCCCTGATGGAGGCCTCTCTTGGCTCTGGAGGGTACCCACAGTTGACTGTTATGGGGGGCTCTCCCAAGGTGGCAGCTTGCTTCTTCAAAGTCAGCAGAGGAGAGAGAGCTCCAGCAACCCTTATGTAATGGAATCACATGCGTTCATCATCTTTGTCATATTCCATTGATTAGAAGCATGTCACAGGTTCCACATGTTCTCAAGGGGAGGAGCAATGCAAGAGTGTGAATTTCAGGAGGTGGGGGTTATTGGAGACCATTTTAGAGACTGTCTACCACATACACTGTGATTGCTTTTTCTTTTGAAATGGTTTTAGACACATGAAAAAGTGGCAAAAATAGCACAGAGTCCACATGTGCCCTTCCCTTACTGTTAAATTGTACGTACTTTTCCTTTGTGACACAGCTTTGTGTTTTCTTTGAAGTGAAACCAAGCTTGATATTTCATTTTCTTTGTTTTCTATATACGTGTTGCTAATAAAACTCTCAATTCTTTCATCTAAATCTCTTCTTAAGACATGTAGGGACTTCAGGTGTTCTAGCAATTTCATCTCCCTGAAGAGGTCTCCCCTGGAGCCTTCTGACCTGTTCCGTCTGGGCGAGCTGAACTCCATGCCCTCTGCACAGCTGTCATCTTGGGATTTCTCCTTTTTGCCATCTTGGGGCTCCTCACTGTCTCCTGTTTCTTACTCTTGCTGTTTTCCTCTTTCTTAATTATTCTCTCATTTTGGTGGAGTTTTCTCTCATTTCTTAAGATTGGTGCATGGGCAGTACATTTTTTTCTTTTTGTGTCCTTACATGTTAAAAATGTCTTTATCCTGATACTTCCTTGATGTTTTATCTGGATATACTTGTGTAGGGTGAGAGTGCTTTTCCATCAGGAATTTGAAGACATTGCTCTATTCCCTTTTAGCTTCTAGTGCTGTTATTGAGAGATCTGGTGTCATTCTTATTCCTGACCTTTGAAAATAACATTTTTCCTATCCCATTTGGAAGCCTGTAGGATCTTGTCTATGATCATGGTGTTCTGACATTTTGAGATATTAATTGGCCTGACACTATGTTTTCTTTTATTAAATAATTGGTGATACCTTTTAATCTTTAAATTCATGCCCTTTAATTCTGATGCATTTCTTGGGCTTATTTCACTGATGGTTCTCTCTCATCTATTTTCTCGGTTGTTGCTTTCTGTACTCTTATTACACAGGTATTCAACCCACAGGACAGGTTCTGTAATTTTTCAGTCTTTTCTTTCCTATTATTTCCTCTGTTTATTTTATTTACTCTGTTTTATAGAATATTTCCTCAATTTTATGTTCTAATCCTTCCATTGCTTTTTATGTCTGAAATCATATTTTTAATTTTTAAGAATTTTGTTCTTTGAGTTACGTTTACATAGTACCTGTTCTTGTTTCTTCTTTTGTCTCTCTAAAGCTGTTAGTGATAGCTTCTCTTTAGAAAGTCTTTTTTTTCCCCTTCATGCATAGGCTTGTTTTCTCTAAATTGCCTGCCCCCTTATTTATTTGTATTGGCTTTTATCTTCCTTATTAGAGATTTTCTTCAGTTATCTTGTAATCCGTGATTGTTTCCTAATATTTTAGAGTGGGGAACTGAAACTGCCATTGCAAAATTATGACCAAGACAGTGAAAGAGATCTGACCTGACTGACTCCATCTTGCTTCTAACCTCCAAACTGTCCTCATTCATTCTTGGGCATGGGCTGAACTAACTTTGGGAGGAACTTAGTTTATAGTTTAAAACAAAGATAATAACAGCCTTTTCCCAAAACAAACCTCCTTCTTGTCTAGGATCTAGACTGCCTTTGTAGAACTAAGAAATTAGCCACAGGATTAGAAATTACAGTTTAGGAGTCATGCAGCTGGAGATTACAAGATTCTGACCCCCCCTAAACTGCTCCTAAGATCAGGGCTTGAGATATTTTGCAGACCCTGCACTTGATGGATCAGCTGGCACCACCCAGATCGATAAACTGGCTCATCTGATCCTGTGGCCCCTACCCAGGAACTGACCCAGCGCAAGAGGACAGCTTCAACTCCCTATGATTTCATCTCTGACCTAACCAATCAGCACTCTTGACTCACTAGCCTTCCCTCACCCACCAAATTATCCTTAAAAACTCTGACCCCTGAATGCTCAGGCAGGCTAGTTTGAGTAATAATAAAACTCCAGTCTCCTGCACAGCTGGCTCTGTGTGAACTACTCTTTCTCCATTGCAATTCCCCTGTCTTGGTAAATTAGCTCCATCTAGGCAGTGGGCAAGGTGACCCCCAGTGGGTGGTTACAGGACTATGAGGCAGATAGACCTGTGTGCATGTGAGTGGAGTGTGTTAACTGTGTACTTTAGAGAAGGACTAATTGGCTACACCATTGAGCTTGAGAACTTCCTTGGCTGGGCTGCTCTCTTGTCCTCTCAGCCTGATCATGTCCCACAGAAAACTCAACTGAGAGCTCACCTGGGTTGAAAGCCTGACTCTGCATGCTGGGGAGGGCATCTCAGCATATATACATTTAATCCCTTTCCTTCATCCTTTTAGTGTCCCTCATACCAGAGACCCTCTCTGTTGTACCCTCCTCTGACTATAAACCTACTGTCTTTTGCAAAAGTAGGAAGAACTAGGAGCTTAGTTGCTGAAACGGGGAAGAGGACATGTGGCCCTGTTTCTTAAACAAACTTTCAACAAACTGTCTTTATTTTAGCCCTTCTTTTATTCCCACGTTTATCTAGATGTACAGAATTTCTGAGCTTCTGGGAAAGCCTGCCTCAGTTTGGTCCTAGGATTTCTCTCTACTTCCGGCTTGGTCTTTTTTCTACTCCTTATCTGGTTTCTCTCCTTAAAATGTTGTTACAGTTGTAGATCCTTCCAGCTCCCCTATCTTTGAGGGCTTATGCTAAAAAAAAAGTTATTTTGCTATTGTTTTAGTGCATTTTGTTTTTGAGGAAGAAGTGAAAATAGATGCACATGTTAAATCCACCATCTTTACCTAAAGGTTTTCTAATAGCATTCAATAATCCATCCTTTCCCCCCACGAAATTAAAATATCGCCTTTGGATTCTGTACCTTGTCAATATTATGTTAATTACCTCGTTAACATTATGTTAATTTTATTACAGTGCCTTAAAAGTGTTTTTCATAACTTCTAAAGCAAGTTCCCCTTTTCTCTTTTTTCCAGAAAATTTTGGATTATACTTGGGCATTTATTTCACATAATATAAATGTTAAGATAATATGATTTAATTTTAAGCATAAAGCAAGCAATCAAAACGAAAACAAATCAACAACAAAAACCCCCTAAACCTTATTGAGATATTAGTGAAACGGCTACATTGTCTGAGGTATATACCCTGGGGTTCGTCATCGCGCCAGGAAAATTTAGGACACAGACACACAAAAGGAGTTTAGGAGCTGAGGTTTAATAGGCAGAAGAAAAGAGAAAGAGAAACGACTTAGAGAAAGGAGTCTCCAAGTGGAAAAGACTGGGTGGCAACGGATTTTATAGCCCGGTTTGAGGAGGTGGTGTCTGATTTATGTAGGCCTCACAGATTGGTTAGATTACTTACAACTTTTACATAGCCTACAAGGAAGGCTGGTTGCCCCACCAGTCTTGTTATGCAAATGGGCTTTCCAGTTGATCAGGGCCATCTTGCCTGCTCTTCACTGTACCGGTGGCTGACAAAGAGAAGGAAAGATTGAGCCGCCATCTTGAACATGTCTAGTCCCTAGTTCCTGCCCAGCACTCACCTGAGCGAGCTCCCAGCTTGCTTGTCTATGTTTGCAGCTCGACTTTAAGGCTGCTGTTTGTTAGAAAAGGATTTGGGGATGCTTTTCCTTAAAGAGGAGAACCTTATCGAGGACTCCCATACCCTTACTATCTGCCTTAGTGATTTCTTCTTAACTCCTGTATCACTAGTTGGAAAGACATTAAATTTGTATGTTAATTGTTGGGAGAGTTTTTTTATATGTATATGTGTATCTATATATATGTTATTGTTATTGTCTTTTCATCATAGAATATGCTTCCATTTACTTCAAACCTGTTTTTGGTGCTTTGATTTGATTTTATAGTTTTCTTTATGTGAACCCTTTGCTGTTAAATATATTGGATATGTTTTTCTCAGTAAAGTGTTTGGCTTTTTTTGTGAAGGGCCTGAGAGTGAATATTTTTCACCTTCACTTTTGTGAAGGGCCTGAGAGTAGATATTTTCACATGTGATCTCTTTTAAACGACCCAGCTCTGCCACTATGGTAAAAGCAGCCACAGACAATACCTAAGTGCATGACCGTGGCTGTGTTCCAATAAAACTTTATTTATGAAAACAGGCAGTAGGCTGGACTGGTGTACATGGGCTGTAGTTTGCAGACTCCTGACACAGGAGGTCCTTCACAGAATATCAATCCATTAATCTGAAAATGCAGGAGGAACTGTGTGTTTTTAGTCAACTGTCTCAGAGACATTTCACAGAATCTGGGGTCTGAAAGTTCTTTTGTGGGGGAGTGCCTTATTGTCCCACAGTTTGATCACAGTGTTTTTTTTTTTTTTTTTTTTTTGAGACTGAGTCTCGCTCTGTCACCCAGGCTGGAGTGCAGTGGCTCCATCTCGGCTCACTGCAACCTCCGCCTCCTGGGTTCAAGCGATTCTCCTGCATCAGCCTCCTGTGTAGCTGGGATTACAGACGTCCCCGACAACACCTGGTTAATTTTTTTGTATTTTTTTCAGTAGAGATGGGATTTCACCATCTTGGCCACGCTGGTCTTGAACTCCTGACCTCGTGATCCACCCTCCTTGGCCTCCCAAAGTGCTGGGATTACTGGTGTGAGCCACTGCGCCAGGCCGATCACAGTGTGTTTTTAATTGTATCACACATTGCATCTTACCATGCATACTTGTGTTCAGGTCTGCCCTGCTCTTGGATTGTAAAATCTTAGGTCTATGGTAGGGTCTGAGCTTTACTTATGCTTGTAACTTTCTTAGCACACTGTCATGGGGTAGATAATCAATGCATGTTAAATTAATACATGAAGAGGCAGGAGGAAATGATTTCTTAGAATACATGTGAAAAGGAAGCTGCTACTGCCATTTATGTATGATGTTAAATTCTGATTAGTTTATATGTGAAGGTGTCATGTCGTTCATTCCTTATCTTTGGTGATAAGCAGGGTGTAGCACTGGCCTTGTGATTACGACTTTGACACACTCTGGGTCCTCCCCCATCTGCCTTTGTTGTCGTAAGTGTAGTGGCCTGATCTCCAGAGACAGGACACCTGGCGCCTCTGCAGTCTGCTTGTGCATTCACAGGGCACACAGCACTCCACCGATGGTCAGGTTCTTGAACTAGGTCAGTCATTTTTCCCATTTGCCACTTGTCTCCTGGAGTAGAAGGGGGAAGAATTAGAACACAAACATCTAAAAATGCAAGAGAGACCAAAAAGCAAAACATAAACACAAACAAAAAACAGCTTTCTGACTGTCAGCTTCACTGAGCAGCACCATTCCTTTTTCTGACCTTCAGCGGCATTTCGGAATGGGTAGTGTTACGTGCCAGGGGCACCGGCTTTCTCAGATACGTGTTGTAAATACATACGCCAAATCGTCAGACGTGCAGTCCACGGTGGGTCAGCTGTTGAACTGATGAATTCAGCCCAGCAACTGACTGAGAAAAGGGCAAGTTACAGTTGAAAACCCAGGAGGAGAAAGAAAATCCATGCTGCTCGCAAGAAGCAGGGCCATTTTATAATCTATTTTCTCAAAAACAAATAGTGATTGTGTCAAATAAGAATGGTTGAGAGGAATAGCTTGATACTGTTCTTCCACACATACATCATTCACTCCTTCTCTTCATGACTCTTCCCTGAAGGTCTTCCTTGTGCCGGAACGGTGCGACCTTTGCTGTTACTGTAACCATCCAGTGGGTTCACCTTGCCCGCCGCCTAGAGGGAGCCGATTTATCAAGACGGGGGAATTGCAATAGAGAACAAATAATTTACACAGAGCCAGCTGTGCAGGAAGCTGGAGTCTTTTTTTTTTTTTTTTTTTTTTTTGAGACGGAGTCTCGCTCTGTCTCCCAGGCTGGAGTGCAGTGGCTGTGATCTCGGCTCACTGCAAGCTCCGCCTCCCGGGTTCACGCCATTCTCCCGCTTCAGCCTCCCGAGTAGCTGGGACTACAGGTGCCTGCCACCGTGCCCGGCTAATTTTTTGTACTTTTAGTAGAGACGGGGTTTTCACCGTGTTAGCCAGGATGGTCTCGATCTCCTGACCTCGTGATCCGCTCACCTCGGTCTCCCAAAGGGCTGGGATTACAGGCGTGAACCAGCGCGCCCGGCCGGCTGGAGTTTTATTATTACTCAAGCCAGTCTCCCTGAGCATTCAGGGATCAGAGTTTTTAAGAATAATTTGGTAAATGGGGAGAAGGCTCCTGAGGAGGTACCAGCTGATCCATCAAGTGCAGGATCTGCAAAATATCTCAAGCCCTGATCTTAGGAGCAGCTTAGGGAGGGTCAGAATCCCGTAGCCTCCAATTGCGTGACTCCTAAACCATAATTTCTAATCTTGTGGCTAATTTCTTAGCTCTACAAAGGCAGTCTAGTCCCCAGGTAAGAAGGAGGTTTGTTTTGGGAAAGGGGTATTATCGTCTTTGTTTTAAACTATAAACTAAGTCCCTCCCAAAGTTAGCTCAGCCCAGGAATAAACAAGGACAGCTTGGAGGTTAGAAGCAAGGCGGAGTCAGGTCAGATCTCTTTCACTGTCTCAGTCATTATTTTGCAATGGCGGTTTCATTACCAACATTGCCGAGGTCCTGACCGTCAGTGCCCTGTACTGAGTATATTTTTCAGAGGCCAACCTTTTCCTTCTCTGCTCCCACTCTATTTAGCTCTCGTGACGGGTCTGAATACACCATTGTAGCGTTCCCTCAGTTTTCCCCATCAGTAAGATGCAGGAAGACTTAATGGAATCCTCAAGCAGTGAGACTTCCTAGCTCCAGGGACTGAAAAACATTAGTAGATATTAAAACTTCCCAATAGCAAATGGCGATCGATAATGATATCATCTCTGTCCTGGGAACTTAGATGCTACTATTATCATAGTTAAATAGATAATAAATGTAAAAAGTCACCCCTAAGTACTAGACTCCAGCATTTAATTCCCCTTGCCATTTGCTAGATGTTAGAAACTTGGCTAAAACTAAGGCTTTTTTTGCCCTCAAGAGTTGATGTTTTTACTAAAACAAGTTTTATTGAGATACAATACAATTCACACAGCGTAACATTTACCCTTTTAAAGTATACAATTCAATGCTTTTCATATATTTACAGAGTTGTGTAACTGCCATCACAGTCATATTTCAGGACATTTTCATTACTCCGCAAAGAGCCTCCGTACCCATAGAGGTCACTCCCCAGTCTCCCCATGTCAAGCCCTAGGCAAACACTAATTTACTTTCTGTCTCGATAGATTTGCTTCCATTAGATATTTCACATGAGTGGAATCATATACTACATGGTCTTTTGTGACTTGCTTCTTCCAGTTAGCTTAATGTTCTTGAGGCTGACTTATATTATACCATGTAAGAGCACCTGATTCCTTTTTATTGCTGAGTAGCGTTCTGTTGTGTGAGTATGGCACTACATTTGTCTATCCATTCATCAGTTGATGCACATTTGGGTTGTTCATACCTTTTGGCTATTATGAATCATGTTGCAGCGAAGCTTGGTGCACATGTCTTTGACTAGGACATATGTTTTCACTTCTCTTGGATATATAACTAGGAGAGGAACTGCTAGGTCATATGGTAACCATGTGTTGAAAATTTAACTGCCAAACTATTTTTCAAATGCATTGCAACATTTTACATTCCCAGCAGCACTGTATGTTGGTTAATTTCCCCACATCCTTGTCAACACATGCGATTGCCCATCTTTTTTACTGTAGGCATCCTAGGGAGCGAAGTGCCAACTCATTGTGGTTTTATTTGCATTTCTCTAATGACTAACGATGTTGACCATCTTTGTATGTGTTTAATGGCCATTTGCACATGTTCTTTAGAAAAATGTCTATTCAAATTATTTGCCTGTTTTTTTTTTGAGTCTCACTTTGTTGCCCAGGCTGGAGTGCAGTGGCATGATCTCAGCCCACTGCAAGTTCTGCCTCCCGGGTTCAAGTGATTCTCTTGCGTCAGCCTCCCGAGTAGCTGGGATTACAGGCATGCGCCAACTTGCCCATCTAATTTTGTATTTGTAGTAGAGACGGGGTTTCACCTGTTGGCCAAGCTGGTCTCGAACTCCTGACATCAGGCAATCCGCCCTCTTGGCCCCTCAAAGTGCTGAGATTACAGGCATGAGCCACCATGTCCGACCCCTTTGCCTATTTTTAAATTGAATTTTTGTCATCATATTGTAGAGTTGTAATATTTATATATTTTGTATACTATTGCATTATCAGATATATTATTTGCAAATATTTTCTCCTAGTCTCTTGGCTGTCTCTTCACTTCCTTGATAGTGTTGTTTAAAGTGCAGACATTGTTTATTTTGATGAAAGTCCAATTTATCAACTTTTACCTCTAGCTTCCATATTTGTGATATTGTATCTAAGATACCCTTGCTGGCTGGGTGCGGTGGCTCATGCCTGTAATCCCAGCACTTTGGGAGGCCAAGGTGGGTGGATCACCTGAGGTCAGAGTTTGAGACCAGCCTGGCCAATGTGGTGAACCCTCATCTCTACTAAAAGTACAAAAAATTAGGCGGGCACAGCAGTGGGCACCTGTAATCCCAGCTACTCGGGAGGCTGAGGCAGGAGAATCGCTTGAACCTGGGAGATGGAGGTTGTAGTGAGCTGAGATCGTGCCATTGCACTCCAGCCTAGGCAACAAGCACGAGACTCCGTCTAAAAAAAAAAGAAAGAAAGAAATCCTTGCCTAACCCAAAGTCAAGATTTATCCCTATGTTTTATTTTAAGAATCTCATAAGTGTTACTTCTTACATTTAAGTCTATCATCCATTTTGAGCTGCTTTTTGTGCATGGTGTGAGATTGGGGTTCAAGCTCATTCTTTTGAATGTAGATATTCAGCTGTTCTTAGCATCATTTGTTGAAAATCCTATTTTTTCTCCTTTGCATTCCCTTGGCACCTTTGTTGAAAGTCGATGACCATAAATGTATAGGCTTATTTATGTATGAACTCTGTATTCTATTCCATTGATTTTCATGTCTAGTCTTACGCCAGTACCACAATATCTTGATTGCTGTCACTGTGTAGTAAGTTTTGAAATTAAGAAGTGTAAGTCTTCCAACTTAGTTCTTCAAAAGATGATATTTATTTTAAAATAAAGGGCTGTTTGTCATATAATTTGACTGTGTGTTGGAAAATACTTTTAGATTTTGAGAGGCTTGCATAAGTTAGTCAATATTCTTTCATGGAGGAAAAAAGCTTTCTGTGCCCAGCTGTTCAACAACAGGAAAATTCTATAATATGTTTTCTCATTCATTTGGAGTGGGCATGTGAGTCAGCCTTTGGTTGGTTGTTGAAACCTTCTTGAAGAGCCTTATTTCAGAAGTTTGATTTGCTCAATGGACGTTTACCCATCATTTCCTCCATGTCATGGCCTGTGCTAGATGCTGGGAGAGAGAGAGAAAGGAGACACAATTGCTTTCAGGATGCTCACAGTAGAGCAAGGAACGAGTCACAATTTTAGAGCTGAATTTTTCTTTTTCTTTTTTTTTCTCTTTTCTTTTTTGAGACACAGTCTGGCTCTGTCACCCAGGCTGGAGTGCAGTGGCGCAATTACAGCTCACTGCAACCTCTACCTCCTGGGCTCAAGCCATCCTCCCACCTTAGCTTCCCGAGTATCTAGGACCACAGGTGCAAGCCACCACACCCAACTAATTAAAAAAAAATTTTATAGAGTTTTCTGTAGGATTTCACCATGTTGCCCAGGCTGGTCTCGAACTTCTGAACTCAAGCAATCTGCCTGCCTCAGCCTCCCAAAGTGCTGAGATTACAGGCATATCAATACAATGATACAATGATACAATGGCTGAGCCACTGCACCCAGCCATTAAAGCTGAATTTCTGGAGACTGTCAATGTAAACTCCCTTGCTTTGTAGATATGAAAAGGCAGCCTAGAGAATGACAGCTTTGGGTGAAAGCCATAGTGTCCCCACAAGTAAATAATGGTGAGCAGAGTGCCTTGCATATAGTAGGTCCTCGATAAATATTCACCGTGATTTACTTACTAGATGGTATGTAAGCTAGTGGTTGGAATATTTAAACATAAACACACAGACTCAGAATGTTGAGAATGTGCTCAATTCCTTTCTGCAGTGAGTTTTAAATTTAAAGATTCCTTTGTGCTCCCTGCCTAGCCTGGAGCTATTGCTGCGCTCTTGGCAACATCCACCCGGCTGAGCCCAGCAGCCCTTGCCCTGGAGACAGAAATTGCCCCCTTTTTTTTTTCCTTCTTTTTATTTTTTTTTGGCACAGGGTGTGTTGAGACAGGTTGAATAGCCACCCTGGAGTTTTGCCAGAGCCACAAGATGAGGAAGGTCAAGAGGCAGAAGAGAGCAGGGTGAGGAGATGGGGGTGGAGGAGAGGAAGTTTGACATCATGTGGCTTGAATGGCTCAAAATGCTGAAATGCCAGCATTAGTTCAAGCAATTTAGACTTTCAGGAAGCCTGGCCTTTCCCCCTAGAGTCGTTTGTTTAGTCCTGTCTGGTGGGCTTGGCTGGCGGATTCCACAAACTCATGATGAAAAAGTTCTCCAGGCAGAACAGAGATGTGGCCTCCATTCCTACAGGGTAGACAATCAATTCCAAGGGCCCAGCATCTCCTATGAACCCAAGGTCACTCAGATCAAGTCCCCAGGGTGGCAAATGTCTGGCATCAATCGGGGGTTGGGGGGGCGGACACTGAGTTTAGTTCAAGGAAGTATTGCCAGATTTTGTGTGTTCTTCTGTGCCACTGATGGATTTGAATGAATTTGAACATGCTGCACGGTTTGACGCACGTCAGAACTGAAAGAGAAGGCAGAGTCCAGGTGAAGAGCAGGAACGTGGCCAGATTGCCCAAGTTAGAATGGGGCTCTGTTACTAGCCAGCTGGAGATGTCGGCTGCTGACTTGGTGTTCTCTACCTGAGTTTCCTCATTCAACACTGAATCCCCCGGCTCTGCCCTTCTTTCATCTGTAGCCCCAGTACCTTTTAGCAAACTATGTAATTTACTTGTTTGCTATGTTTGTGATTTACTGTCTGTCTTCCTCATCTCCTGCTCTGAAAGGACAGACATCTTGCTTGTTGTGTTTTGATGCATTCCAAGATTC
The DNA here is from genome assembly GCF_000001405.40 of Homo sapiens. NCBI lineage: Eukaryota > Metazoa > Chordata > Mammalia > Primates > Hominidae > Homo > Homo sapiens. The sequence goes on from NC_000010.11 coordinate 6,400,355, forward strand.
TGGAAGACTTGGAAGACAGCAGGTGGTCCATACACATTTGTTGAATGTGAGTAGTCACAGTACCAACCTCGCTGTGTTGTTATGCAGGTGAGATGACTTAATACTGTCATATACGCAGGGCAGTCCCAGCCCTGAGCAGTGTGCCCTGAACTATATTTCAACACACAGCGAGAGCTGGATCTCTCGAGCAATCCCACGTCCCGTGTCTCGGCAGGCCCAGGACAGTTCTGCTTTTAACCTGTTTCCTGGAGTAATTGCTAACAGTGCTTCCTTTCAGAAAAAAAAAAAAAAAGGCTCATTTTAGCTAGTAAATTATATGGTTTGGCTACATGTAAGTGTTTTTACTCATTCATTTAAGAAACTGAAAAAAAAAAAAAAAATCTGCCAGCTGGCATGCACCTACAGTCCTGGGTGCTCGGCAGGCTGAGGTGGGACGATGCTTGAGCCCAGGGGTTCAAATCTAGCCTGGGCGACATAGAAAGACCCCACTTCTACAAAAAGCAGAAGAAAGAAAGAAAAAATATTGAATGGGTACCATGTTAGATGCTAAGAACAACGACCATAGTTCGTTCCCTTTTAGAGCTTACTGTCTTCTGGAGAACTTGCAAAATTAAATAATTCAAATTTAAAACTGTTGGAACTTTATTCTGAGCCTTGAGAGAAATGGACTGAGTCACATAGCATGCCGTTGCAACTTCTGCTTTTTCCCGTAAACGATTAGGAATGACCGAGTAGCACCAGAAATAAGACCCTCTGAGTGGTGACCCCTCAGAACATTACTCTTGTCCTCACAGAACATTACAGCCATCTTCCATGGAATGGAGCAAGCCACCCTAATCAAATCGCTATGACATGTATCTAGCCTTGCACGGAAAACATTGCAACCTGCCGAAACCATCTCTACCTATGTAAGCACAGCCTTAGCTTCCCCACTTTAGAGCATGTCCCTTTGGGGTCTGTGTTTTCCGGGTGACCGTTCTCAAGCTCTGTACTCAAATAAACCCCATACTTCATCATATTTTCTGTATCACCTTATTTAAGGTCAACAAACTTTAAGGACATAATTAAGTAGACAACCTCATGACTTGAACACATGGTTAATAGTAATAATTGGATTGACATCCATATAGTTCTCCTCTGTTTTAGGAGAGGGCTGGTTTTTTTTTTTTAAATATTGATCCATTTTCGTGCTTTGTATAGTAACCCAATGAGGTAGAAGTGATTACCGCCACCCTTTTACTGATTACAACACCTGGGGTTCTGAGCGCCAGCCACTTGGTGAGGATTGCGGGGCCAGGGCACTCTGGTCCCAAAGCTCTGATTCCCACGGGCTTTCCTGCTGAGTCACGCTGTCTGCTGGGAGCTGTTGACCCGCCGTCTCTTTCTCTGACTTCCACCCGATAATTCTACATGGCTCTGCAATAAGCAGCTTTTTTCTTATTATTTCCTACAAATACATAGGTTACACTCTGATTAAAGGCAGAATACACATCTTGAATTAAGGGGAAGGCTGAAGCCTGGAATTCTTCCCATCTCTAATCCTGCCTGGTCACTGAAGTTCCTGAGTCCTCAGCTCAGGTCTGAGGCAGCCCTGCCCAGCAGGGACGGAAACTGCAGCTTTTTCATGTTCCTCTGCCTCCCTCTAGTGACTCAAGTCCAAAATAGTGCGGCTGGGAACTATTGGAAGAACACAGACGCTGCAAAGAAGCTGGAAACCATCATTCTCGGCAAACTAACACAAGAACAGAAAACCAAACACCGCATGTTCTCACTCATAAGTGGGAGTTGAACAATGAGAACGCATGGACGCAGGGAGGGGAACATCACACACCGGGGCCTGTTGGGGGATTGGGGACTAGGGGAGGGATAGCATTAGGAGAAATACCTAATGTTGATGGGTGCAGGAGACCACCATGGCACGTGCATACCTATGTAACAAAACTGCGTGTTCTGCACATCTACCCCAGAACTTAAACTATAATTTTAAAAAACCCCAAAAGAGTGCAATTTCAATGCCAAAAAAAAAAAAAAAAAAAAAAGCTGAGCTTCATCTATTCCTTCCGCTCTTTCCTCCCTCACGCCTACCATGTGTGAAGCACTGTACCCAACATGAAGGACACAGACAGAAAAGCCTGACTCCGCATCTCCCTGCTCGGGTTGCCTTGGCAACTTCTCCGTGTACCCAAAGAAGCAAAGGGGACTTAACAATTTCAAAGAAGAGTGGCAGTAACTACTTTTTCTGTTCCGAGCTTTCTTGTATAAAGTGAAGCACTGTGTGGCCTTTAAGAGTTCTATTAAGGGCCGGGCAGGGTGGCTCATGCCCGTAAATCCCAGCACTTGAGGTCAAGAGTTCGAGACCAGCCTGGCTAACATGGCAAAACCCCGTTTCTACTAAAAGTACAAAAATTAGCCAAGTGTGGTCGTGGGCACCTGTAGTCCCAGCTACTTTGGAGGCTGAGACAGGAGAATCACTTGAATCCAGGAGGTGGAGGTTGCAGTGAGCTGAGATTGTGTCACTGCACTCTAGCCTGGGCAACAGAATGAGACTCTGTCTCAAAACCAAATAGAAACAAAAAGAATTCCATGAAGGGAATTAGGACCACTTTTTAATTCAGTGTCTGCACACTATCTCCTGACCACCTGGCTGCTGCTTTTCCTCCCTGCTTCCTGTCCTCCCTTCCTCTCTACCTTGCTCTACTCTCCTATCCCTTCACTGGTGCTCCTTTTGTGTTTTATCTCCTCTGCCAATCAACATGCAGGGCAAGGAAGCCAGGCATAGCACCGGGCACTGGCCGGCCCTGCTGGTCGCTCTCATGCCTGAAGCTCTGTGCTAAAACACCTAGTTTCCGGCAATGTGCAGACGGTGGACACTCAGAGGTGGGGTGCGGCAGGATTCAGACTTCTCAAGGACACCATAGTGTGGCAAACACTAAGGAGTTCGCTGCCAGTGTCTTAGTCGGAGTAGGGCAAGGCTATGGAGTAGGGTCCCTTCTATTTGGAAAAGAGAAAAGTGCTTCTGATGTTATTTTTATATAATGATCCAGGCAGCTTGGTTTGACCATCCAACACCTGCAGAGCCCAGCTCAGCATTCATGTCTTCATTCCCCTCTGCTATCTCTGGGGCATATCCAGTGTCCCTGAACCGTGAGTTCCCGGCTCACTCTCAGGTTTCTGCCGACTTTGGTGGGTCTAAGATGAGACCTTTGGTAACCACAGAAACAAAGCTTCTCCCCATGCTCATGGCCTGAGGAAGCTTTGGAAAGGTGTTATATGGATGTTTCAAATGCTGTGTCAGACCATTTTAATCTACGCACCTCTTATTATTGTGTCTGAGCACAATGTATTGCAATCCAGTGTTTATCTCTCCTATTGAAATGGAGACAGCTAAAGGGTCTGCATGATGCTAACTGAATTTTGTATTCCCAGTGCCTAAGACATAGTTGGTGCTCGATAATTGTTTGTTTCAGGGATAAATGAATGAAAAAAAAAATGAATGAGTAATCATTAGCCTCAGCAATACTTTGTTCCCAAAGTCACACACACACTCATTTATTTCCTCCTAAGAACAGATGCTAGGCCAACAGGTCTTCATGATTTTACAATCTCTATGGTGACAGATAAGACATTAGGGTGCATATGAGGAAAAGATAGGAGATAGCAGGATACGAAGGCCTAAAAAGGGGGAGAGGAAATGGAGAAAAAGTGCCTACAGATTCTAATAACTGAGAGACAATTTTTAGGATTATGGTCACAGTTTTAGTAGCAAGAATAAAAAAATGCAGAATTCTACCCTTTCCTTGCCAAGATTAGATAAGGGCAAAAATCCTTTAATGGCATTAAAGAGAAAGAGAAAAGAAAAAACTAGAGAGAGAGAGAGAGAGAAAGGGAGAGAAGGGGGGGGGAGAGAGAGAGAGAGAGAGAGAGAGAGAGAGATTGCATGGCCAGAGGTCTAACTCAAATACTTGCAATGTTCAGATAAAAAACCCTCTTCCATGCCAGACTCTGACAATGGATTCATTCTTTCTTTCGTTCTTTCTTTTCTTTCTTTCCTTCTTTCTTTCTTTTTTCTCTTTCTTTCTCTCTTTCTTTCTCTTTCCTTTCTTCCTTCCTTTTTTCCTTTTTTCTTTCTTTCTCTCTTTCCTTTCTTTCTCTGTCTCTCCTTCCTCCCTCCTTCCTTCCTTCCCTTCCTTCCTTACTTCCATCCTTTCTTCCTTCTTTCTCTTTCTTTCTTTCTTTTTTTCTCTCTCTCTTTCTCTCTTTCTTTCTCTCTTTCCTTTCTTCCTTCCTTTCTTTCCTTTTTTCTCTTTTTCTTTCTCTCTTTCCTTTCTTCCTTCCTTTCTTTCCTTTTTTCTTTCTTTCTCTCTCTCTCCTTCCTCCCTCCTTCCTTCCTCCCTTCCCTTCCTTCCTTCCATCCTTTCTTCCTTCCTTCACTCCTTCCTTCCTTCTTTCTCTCTCTCTTTCATTCTTTCTTTCCTTCTTTCTTTCTTTCTTTCCTTCTTTCTTTCTCTTCCTTCCTTTCTTTCCTTTTTTCTTTCTTTCTCTCTCTCTCTCCTTCCTCCCTCCTTCCTTCCTCCCTTCCCTTCCCTTCCTTCCTTCCTTCTATCCTTCCTTCCTTCTCTCTCTCTCTCTTTCTTTCTTTCTTTCCTTCTGACATGGGGTCTCACTCTGTTGTCTAGGCTGGAGTGCAGTGGCACAATCTTAGCTCACTGCAATCTCTGCCTCCCACAAGTGATCTTCCAACCTCAGCCTCCCAGATAGCTGGGTCCACAGGTGCACGCCACCACACCCTGCTAATTTTTTGTATTTTTGGTAGAGACAGGGTTTCACCATGTTGGCCAGGCTGGTCTCAAACTCCTGAGCTAAAGCAATCTGCCCATCTCAGCCTCCCAGAGTGTTGGGATTACAGGCGTGAGCCACCGCGCCCGGTCAGATTCTGTTTTTCATAGTGAGAGCTTCACAACAAACAGATGTGTTTCCTTGGGAAGCAGTGTTCCTTCAGGCAGATCTGTGCACTGGGCAGCTCTCCGTTTGCCGTCCTCTCATCTTGACTTTCGTGAACTCTCTCCTTTTGCGTCCTGGACCCCACCCAGGGAACTGCTCACTGCCTTGCTGGCAGGTTTGCAAATCACCCATGACAATAACTTACGTGTTTATTACCCAGTGCTATTGGCATTTTCACTGGGGAACTCCAGCGCCCCGCAAGTCTTTCTGACCTCAAGAATAAGGTTTTTAATAGCCAAGTGTTAAGTGTGGTGGAATGGGAAGGTGGATATTTTGGAAGAGGGAATTTGCCTTGCGTCTTCCCAACTATGCCCAAGAGCCCACTAGATGGCTCAAGTTCTTTATCCTGCTCTTTGCAAATGGACTGTCGCATGATTCTAGGTCTAGAGGAAGCTGATTGCTGCTACTGGAAGGGTCAGGCTTTGAAGGACAAGTGCGGGAGTGCTGGCTACTTTATGGTACTCTATGACTGGTGCACCCATGTGCCCATGGGGAGCAATGACAGCTCCAAAATCTCACAGGTTGGCACCTGTTACCAATGTTGTCCCATTTCCATGCAGCTGGGAGACCCTCAGTGGGAATGATGATTTCTTCTTGGTATAACCTCAAGTCAGGCATGTTGCTACCAAGAGCTCGCACATTCAGAGGGCCCATCCTGGAGGACATTTGGGCCATTTGTTTTGGGCCTTTGTTGCAACTAACACTTTTCATATTTTACCAACATGGAGAAAGAGCATTATGATAATAATGCCCTTTGGAATTGAGATTAGATTATAAGGAGTGAAATCTAAAGCATTGTGTGAATTTAAAATATACAACATTTTAGAAAAATCCTTGGGTTAGAATTAACTTATGTTAGAAACTGGAGATGCCTTAGAGTGCCTATATCATCCTAAAATTGTTCTTTTTAAAATTCAGAACTGTGTTCCAGACAGTTTCTAACACCAAATAATCAAACTACTTTTTTTTTTTTTTCATGACTAAAGTAGGAAAAATTTGCACAATGGGGCCCGTGTTCTTTTGAGCTCTAACCTGTGGTTCCAGAATTCGGCTGTAAAATAATGTTTGCTGAAGTCGCTCCCCAGTGGCTAAAATTGTGATTGCAGATTATACCAATGCAGAATTTGTTGTATGGTACTGAGTAATTTTTAATTACAATTTTAAATTACTTTCCCAGTTTATTTTAATGTTTCAATAAAGTTTTTTTGAAAAAGGAAAAAGAGAGTCACTTTCTAGTCAATGTGTTATGTTTAACCAGAAGGCTATTATAATTTTTATAGACACAAAACAGTTCTGAATAATGCCATGAAACGAATATGTCTTTGTGCAGATCTTATGATAATATGTTCATTCTGGAGTAAGATGTGCCGCCTGAGGCACTGAGGGAATGGCTCACCGTCATTACCATGGGTACTCACTCACCACTGTCAAAACCAACAAGGAAGCAGAGTTTCAGCCACTTTTAAACGATACTTTTCAGCTACAAGATGCAAATGTTTGGTTGATCTAGTGTAAGATTAATTAGAATGTCTCATATGAGTACAGAAACATGCATTTTCAGTATGATGATTTAAGCACAGCTAATAAAGTTGAAATGAACGAATGCACTTCGAATATGCAAAATATACCATCCTTTGTATTTCCTCGGGGGTAAAGCCCTTTGAAAAGATCAATGAGTGAAGTTTAAAAACCACAGGCATCATTTTTCTAATTTCACAAACCCAAAAAGAGCTATGGGTTCTAACAGATCACTCTAAAGAATTTGGTAATTCATCTATCCAACTTTCACTCTGCAAATGTTCAGCTCTGTTGCGGGCTGGAGACATGAGACAGAGAAGATGCAATCCCATGCCGGCTGAGCTTGCAGGTAAGCGAGCACCCAGTCCTGAATGCAGTGGGCGTGCATGGTGCCGGGGTGTGGGGGGTGTGAGGGGATGAGTGGGGGCATAAGAGGCATCTGGAGGGGGCAATATTGGAGCAGAAATCAGGAGGAGGCGTTCAAGTGAGGGGGAATGACTTCCAGGCAGCAGCTTGTGTCGGGCCCAGAAGCAAGCATGTGGTGTGCTTGGAAAGCTACATGTGTGCGCATGCATGCATGTGTGGTGTACATGTTCAGTGTGTGTGTGTGTGTGTGTGTGTATGGTGTGTATGTATGGTGTTTGTGTCATGTGTATGGTGTGTTCATGTGTGTGTATGGCATGTGTGTATGGCGTGTGAATGTGTGATTGTGTGTGGTATGTGCATGGGACATGCACATCTGTGGTGTTCGCATATATGATGTGTGTATATGGGTTGCATGTGAATGAATGTGTGTGGTATGTGCATGTGACGTGTACATACATGGTGTGTGTGGTGTGTGTGTTCATGTAACAGACAGAACAGTGTAATGAATCTCCATGGTCCCATTATCTAGATTCAATTCATGGCCAATTTTGTTTCATCCATATCCCCACCTAACTCATTCTCCCTAGTATTCAAGCAAATCCCATATATCATATCATTTTATCTGTAAAATCCTTATGTGTATTTGTAAATAAGTATAAAATGATATATCTATCTTGAAACTTCTCTAAAAATGTTCTTTTTAAAACCTAGCCACAATACTGTTATCACACCAAGAAAATTAACATTAATGTTTAGTAGTATCAAGTCTTTAGTCAGTTGTTCAAATTTCCAGTGGTCTTGTGTCAGTTTTTTTTTTTTTTTTTTTTTTTTTTTTACATTTTTTGGAATCAGGATCCGGATAAGGGCCATATACTGTGATTCACTGATGTCTTTTAAGTTGTATTGGACCTATAGTTTTATCTCCCCTACTTTTCCTTGCAATTTATTTATTGACACTTATCTTAGGGAATTGCTCAGTTTAGATTTTGCTGATTACATCTCCAGGGTGTACTTTGACATATTATTCTGTGTTCTGTATTTCTTACAAATTAGTACTTGGACATAGACATTTGACCAAACTCAGGTTTGATTGATGGATTTAGTTTTTTTGGCAAGGCCACTTTTTGTTTTTTTTGAGATGGAGTCTCACTCTTGTCGCCCCCGCTATGCACTGGCTAGATCTCAGCTCACTGCAACTTCTGCCTCCTGGCTTCAAGTGATTCTCCTGCCTCAGCCTCCCAAGTAGCTGGGATTACAGGCGCCTGCCACCACACCCAGCTAATTTTTGTATTTTTAGTAGAGATGGGGTTTCACCATGTTGGCCAGGTTGGTCTTGAACCCCTGACTTCAGGTGATCCTCCCACCTTGGCCTCCCAAAGTGCTGGGATTACAGGCGTGAGCCACTGCGCCTAGCCTTGGCAAGACTGCTTTAGAGAGAGTATTCTGTTCTTCATGTGATAAACATTTCCTGAGACCCAGTTGTCTTTCTTTTGGAGATGTTAGTAGCTGTTTATTAACTCATTGGAAGATGCTATTTATCCACTCAAACGTTTATGGGATTTAGGTTGTTGATAGGTTTTTGCTGTTATGAACAATGCTGCTCTCCATATTCTTACACTGCCTCCTGGTAATAGCTTGAATATGAATTTACGCAGAAGTGGAACGGTGGTCATAGAGCATGTTCAGATTCAGTTTTACTAGTCAATTCCAAATTGTTTTCCGAAGCTACTGTTGCAGTTTACACTTTGATCAGCAGGGGATTCATGAAGTGAATTTTGTGCAGTTTGCTTTCTGGTCTCACTTTTCAAGTTTTGCCAGTCTCATGGATATATACTGGTTTTTCATTTTCACAGTGAGAGAGAGGGGAAAGGAAATTAGTGTTTTAAGTGACCAAGGTTGTTTGTCACCATCCACTAGTAACTGGCCCAAGGAGGACAGTGGAAAAAGAATGAAATCTGGATGTATGTTGCTTGTGACCTTATAGAACAGGCATTAATATGGGTGTTCCCCGCAGCCAGAAGTTGAAGTATCTATTTCTTTTTCTGTTTTAGTTTATTTTATTTATTTATTTTTAAGACAGAGTCTTGCTCCGTCATCCAGGCTGGAGTGTAATGGCACGATCTCGGCTCACTGCAACCTCTGCCTCCCAGGTTCAAGCGACTCTTCTGCCTCAGCCTCCTGAGTAGCTGGGATTACAGACATGCACCACTGTGCCTGGCTAACTTTTGTATTTTTAGTAGAGATGGGGTTTCACCAAGTTGGCCAGGCTGGTCTTGAACTCCTGACCTTAAGTGCTCCGCCCGCCTCGGCCTCCCAAAATGCTGGGATTACAGGTGTGAGCCACTGCGCCTGGCCTCTTTTTCATTTTACATACACTTTCTGGAATTTCCAATTGGAATTTCATTTCAGCTATTCCTGAAAGAACTTTCAAATGACACAGTTTTGATAATATGTTTTCTTCCATTTAGATTAAATGTGGGTAACTCTACAGAAGGTTTTTTTTTTATAGCTTGGAGGAGATAATGTAGCATAAATATTGATATATTGAAAAGCTATCATTTTCATGGAATGGGAAAAATAGCTAGAATTAAGATAGCAAGCTAAGATAAAGTCTCTGTGTTCATGCAGTTACTCCAATGCCAAAATTACAAGTCTTATAATGTAGAAAGGTTAGTTCATTATGCCTTGGTGAAATGTGTTAAAAAGCTGTTTGTTGCCACGACAAACAGAAAGTTTAAGAGCCTGCTCAGCTTCTCCATTGGAAGAAGATTGGCAGAAGCTCATAAACTATGAAGGGGAAGGAGTGCAAGTCAGCCCTTTTACCCTCTGGGCTACTCACTGCTCAACGAATGTCTCCACGCTCTTCCTGTTGCATTCAATAGCCATTACTTACCACTGACAAGAAATCCTAGGCTTCCTTGGATGAGCTGAAATGCTGTTACCCAGCTGTTCTCAGGCCTTTCTTATTTCCTGCTTTGGTCTGATGATCTGTTGTTTCCTTTTGAGATGATTTGCAATTTGTTCTTCTTAAGGGACATTTATGGGGTCATTTCAAGTGTTACTTACTTGACAAGATATGTTAAAGTGATGTAAATCCTTAAGTTAAATGAACAAAGCTCTTAATTGGAATTGGAAGTGCCAGAGATCACAGCTGGTTTTCTGTTTGGAATACTCCATCATACCAGCTGAGTGAAGCTGCTGCCTTCTTGGGAGGAAATGTAGGGCAGAGGGTGGGGCTTTATTTCTAGGTCAGCAGCTGCTGAGGTTAACTCAAAACAATGACATCACCCAGGGCTCTAAGTAGCAGTGGTGTTTGGAAATGCACAGGGGCATCTGGGTTTTCAAAATAGCCTGGGGGTGTTGGTGGTGGGCATGATTGGCATTTAGTGCTTGGGAGCCAGGTAGACAAAATGTCTTACAATGAGTTGAGCAATTCCACCCAGCAAAGAATAGTCTTGTCTGGCAGGGTGCAGTGGTTCACACCTGTATTCCCAGTAATTTGGGAGGCCAAGGCGGGTGGATCACCTGAGGTTAGGAGTTCAAGACCAGCCTGGCCAACATGGTGAAACCCTGTCTCTACTAAAAATACAAAAACCAGCTGGGCGTGGTGGCGGGTGCCTGTAATCCCAGGGGAGGCTGAGGCACGAGAATCGCTTGAACCCGGGAGGTGAAGGTTTTAGTGAGCCGAGATCACACCACTGCACTCCAGCCCAGGCGACAGAGTGAGATTCCGTTTCAAAAAAAAAAAAAAAAAAAAAGGTCCATTCCAAGATGCCAATCATCCCTGTTGAGAAACACGGCGGACGATTAGAGCTAGCACGCTGATCTTTGAGTTTTACGGAAAAATCAATTGTTCTTAGGTCATCGGTATATTTTGTAGCCTCTAGCTTATAATGAGAGAGGAGTCTACATAGTTCATAGAGGGACTCAATTATCTGATAGTATTTCGGCTTTCTGTTCTTTAAGCTCTTTATCAGTTAGTGAGGACAATCATAGCCCCTCCCTTTTATAGTCATTATGGAGATTAAAGGAGTTGATGTATTTAAAGCACTTAGAAAGTTCCCTGGCACATAGTAGGCACTCAGTAAATATTAGCTATGATTATTTTTTTCCTCATGCCCCTTGGGAAAACTTGGCATTGCTTGACAGTTATTCCAGAAACATCACTCTAGCCTCAGAAATCTCCAAAAGGTCCGGTGATATTTTCCCTAGGAGGAGACAAATTCCTATGGTGGTAAGTGATTGAAAAAAGGGATCATAATAACACAATAGAAGGACATCAAAAACAAATAAAACTGACTTCCTGATTTTGTCTGGAGATTGGCAAATTTAGCCTTTAGACCGAACCCTGTTCTGTAAGTAAAGTTTCATTGGGACACCCATTTGTTTCCGTATTGGCCGTGACTGTTTTTGCACAGCAGGGTTGAGTAGTTGCAACACAGACTGTATGGCTGTCAAAACCTAAAATATTGGCTAAATTGTCCTTTACAGAAACATTTGCTGACCCTGGTACATAGTTTACATTATGAGTTGGCTACTCATCACTGTCACCTGAGGGCCACATCTTATCAAAGCTCAGAGAGATAAACACAAAGGGTTTAGGATGAAGTGTTTTACAGGGATAGTAATGCCATATAATGATGATGATGATAGATAACACTTATTTGTTTACTATGGTCACACACACTTCTAAGTATTTGATAGATACTAAGTCTTTTTGATAAACACAAAAATGCCCAGCATCTCAGTACTCCCTCAAGTTTATTCAGTCACTGGCAAAATTAGCCTATGAACCCAGACAATAGCTGGAAGTTGAGGAGAAACTTATTTTTTTAAGAGATGATGTCTTCCTCTGTTGCCCAAGTTGGAGAGTAATGGTGCCATCATAGCTCAAGCTCCTCGACTCAAGAGATTCTCCCATCTCAGCCTCTGAGTAGCTAGGACTACAGGCATATGCCATCATGCTTGGGAAAAGAGGAGTGACTTTTAAATGTGATGGATTTATGGTAAGAAGACTCTAAAGTCATATTTGGGCAAAGGAGTGTTTAGTTATCTTCGAATTCGCTTTAAGATGTAAAAGAAATTTATCATCCTCAAATCAGTTTAGAGATTCAATGGAATTCCAATAAAAATATCAAAAGGGAGTTTTAAAAAGTGAAATTAAAGCTAACTTTAAAGTTCATTTTTAATAGCACATGTGTAAGAATATAGAAGAAAAACATCTAAAAGAACTGCCTTGCTAAGATATCAAAGCATGCTATAAAGTGATAACAACCAAAACACTTGGTTCTCGATGTTAGAACAAACAGCTCAATAGATCATAACAGGTGATATTCAAAGATACGCAAAGATATGTATGGTAAAATAATTCACAACAAAGATAGAATTTTAAGTCAGTGGGGGAAGGACAGATCCATTCAGAAAACAGCATTGAGTCACTTGGTTATCCATTTGGAAAATCAATAAGGTTAGATGCCTATCTCACGTCATATATTAAATTCATGATTGATTAGATCAGAACCTCCTGACCAATGTGCACACTGGTATAGCGTAAGCGGGTTACAAGTGACTTGAGTTATTGATCCCTCAGTGGGCCACTAGGTACAGCCTGGTATTGTCAGTACTCCTAGGCTGGTTGCTGCCTTCCACAATCACTTATGAGCACAATTGCTCGTGTACTCTAGTTTTCTGTACAAACATTACAATTTTATTTTTTATTTTTATTTTTTTTGAGACAGAGTCTCACTCTGTTGCCCAGGCTGGAGTGCAGTGGCTCCATCTCGGCTCACTGCAAGCTCCGCCTCCTGGGTTCACGCCATTCTCCTGCCTCAGCCTCCTGAATAGCTGGGACTACAGGCACCCGCCACCACGCCCGGCTAATTTTTTGTATGTTTAGTAGAGACGGGGTTTCACCATGTTAGCCAGGATGGTTTTGATCTCCTGACCTTGTGATCAGCCCGCCTAGGCCTCCCAAAGTGCTGGGCTTACAGGCGTGAGCCACTCTGCCCGGCCTTAAACATCACAATTTTCTATGTTTTCAACCACTCTAAAAAAGTTAGGCTTACTTTAAACAGCAAAAACAAATGAAATATAAATATTAAAACTTCTCATCAATGTCACCAATAAAAACAGTATCTCCCTACATTCCCTGGGCTCCTCTGCAACAACCTATTCTTCAACATGAATATTTTTAATCCTTAGGAAGATGTAGACATGGGAGGATAAAAAATTATGTCACACACACACACACACACACACACACACACACTAGGAAGCACTGGATTAAATGCCACTTGTGCACACACACACACACACACACTAGGAAGCACTGGATTAAATGCCACTTGTGCACACACACACACACACACTAGGAAGCACTGGATTAAATGCCACTTGTGCACACACACACACACTAGGAAGCACTGGATTAAATGCCACTTGTGCACACACACACACTAGGAAGCACTGGATTAAATGCCACTTGTGCGCGCGCACACACACACACACTAGGAAGCACTGGATTAAATGCCACTTGTGCACACACACACACTAGGAAGCACTGGATTAAATGCCACTTGTGCGCGTGCACACACACACACACTAGGAAGCACTGGATTAAACAGCTAAAAGAAAAATATTTGAGCTTTCCACTGCTGGCCAAGGTGAAGTAACAGGAACTGGATTTGCCTTCCCACCAGAAACAACCAAAATCTAACAATAAATAACAGCCCTGACGACATTGGACATCAGGTCAGAAAGAATCTCAGTGGTCCCTGAAAGATGGGGAGCAAATAAGGTGATCCCCAAGATTGTAGCACTTTCCTACCTGGAGAAGGTTTCAAGGGCACAGCAAATGCGTGGGGAACTCAAGGTGACTCCGGAAGGTTCCCTGAGTCATGTAGGTAGAACAGAGAGTCCAGAGGGTCCCAGGCAGCTGGGGCTCACAGGGCAGTGACTGGAGAAAGGGAAATCCTGAGGTCTGCAGGAGATCTTAAGCAGTGGGGAAAACTACCCTTAGATCAAACATTTTGTTGATCTTTTCCAGTAAAATTTAAAGCAAGATCTGAAAGTACCAATTTCCAAGTAACTTTACCACATCACAAAACAAAGCTCAAAACTGTTTTTAAGAATACAGAAATGTCCAGTTCTCACCAAAGAAAAAGTATTGACATTCAACATTAATAACGAATTACCGGGCACACAAAGAAACAGAAAAATAAATGAGGAGGGGACGAATCAACAAATCAAACTGACCCCAAAATGACACAGATAATAAAATTAATAGACAAGGACATTCAATGTATTATTATAACTGCATTCCATACATTCAAAAAGCTAGAAGTATTGAACACATTAAGTCTAGACATAAAATATCTCTTAACAATTGAAGTTCTAGAGGTGAAAACTATAATGTCTGAGATAATCAATACATTGATTAGGATTAATGGGAGATTAGATATTACAAAGAAAATATTTGTATGCATGTAAAGATTTGTACATCTGAAAACATAGCAATAGAAATTATCCAAGACCCTGAGATAAAAGTGATAAAGAAAAAAAAAAAAGAAAGAAAACCCCCATAACATCAATGAACTATGGGATTACTTCAAGTGGCCAAATATATATGCAATTGGAGACCCAAAGGAGGAGGAGACAGAAAATACATTTAAAGAAATAATGGCCTCCAACTTTCCAAGTATGATGAAGACTTTATTTTTTAATTTTAATTTAATTTTTTTTTGAGACAGAATCTTGCTCTGTCACCCAGGCTGGAGTGCGGTGGTGCAATCTCCACTCACTGCAACCTCCGTCTCCTGGGTTCAAGCTATTCTCCAGCTTCAGCCTCCCGAGTAGCTGGGACTACAGTTGTGAGCCACCATGCCCAGCTAATTTTTGCATTTTTAGTAGAGATGGAGTTTTGCCATGTTGGCCAGGTTGGTCTTCAACTCCTGAGCTCCAGTGATCCACCCGCCTCGGCCTCCCAAAATGCTAGAATTACAGGTGTGAGCCACTGCGCCTGGCCTGATGAAGACTTTAAATCCACACCACCCAATAAGCTCAATGAACCCCAAGCACAAGAAACCAAAGAAAACGATACCAACACATATTGTAATCAAATTTCTTAAACCTAGTGATAAAGAGAAAATCTTAAGCCCAAGAAAATACATATATATATATATATATATATATATATATATATATATATATATATATATACACTTACTCAAAATTTACAGGAAATTTCAGCTCATTCATGAACTTCAGGTTAAGAACTTTCTAATTTAGCTTAAGGAGGTGAAGGCATGAGAACAAGCTTGTGGTAAGGTGGAGGGAACAAGTCATACTGCACACCAGTGGTTAAAGTCTGGTCACTGCCATTGTAGAATTCCCTCTGCGCTGAGATCCCCAGAACCATATGTTTGTACTATTCTGGGATTGTTTGGGTCAAATTATAAATGAAGCCCCATTGTTGACAATTGCTGCTAATGTTTCTCTCTCTCTCTCTCTTTTTTTTTTTTTTTGAGACAGAGTCTCTTGCTGTGTTGCCCAGGCTGGAGTGTAGTGGTGTGATCTTGGCTCACTGCAACCTCCGCCTCCTGGGTTCAAGAGAGTCTCCTGCCTCAGTCTCCTGAGTAGCTGGGATTACAGGTGTCCTCCAACATGCTTGGCTAATTTTTTGTATTTTTAGTAGAGATGGGGTTTCACTATATTGGCCAGGCTGGTCTTGAATTCCTGACCTCAGGTGATATGCCCGACTCGACCTCTCAAAGTGCTGGGATTACAGGCATGAGCCACCATGCCTGGCCTGTTTTCCTCTTTTGAAAAAGGAATGGACCACTTTATAGAATACTTGGCAAATAAGCCTGTAGGAATCAAATATTTATTAGGATATAGCCATTTGGATTCTTGATATGATTGAGCAGACATACAATGAGTGCAAAATACAAAGATTCTTCTTTTTTTAAAATTTAATTGAATTTTTTATTTCAATAGTTTTTTTGGGGGTGCAGGTGGTTTTTGGTTACATGGATACGTTCTTTAGCGGTGATTTCTGAGATTTTGGTGCACCCATTACCTGAGCAGTGTGCACTGTACCTACTGTGCAGACCTTTGTCCCTCAGCCCCTCCACCCTTCCCCTTGAGTCCCTAAAGTCCATTATTTCATTCTTATGCCTTTGCAT
The DNA here is from genome assembly GCF_000001405.40 of Homo sapiens. Taxonomy (NCBI): domain Eukaryota; kingdom Metazoa; phylum Chordata; class Mammalia; order Primates; family Hominidae; genus Homo; species Homo sapiens. The sequence continues at coordinate 6,416,422 of NC_000010.11, forward strand.
CCTCATAGCTTAGCTCCTACTTATAAATGAGAACATATGATGTTTGGTTTTCCATTCCTGAGTTACTTCACTTATAATAATTGTCTCTAGCTCCATCCAAGTTGCTGCAAAAGACATTATTTCATTCCTTTTTATGGCTGAGTAGTGTGCTATGGTGTATATAGACCACATTTTCTTTATGCACTCATTGGTTGATGGGCACTTAGGTTGGTTTCATATCTTTGCAGTTGTGAATTGTGCTGTTATAAGCATACATGTGCAAATGTCTTTTTCATAGAAGGACTTTTTTTCCCTTTGGGTACACACCCAGTAGTGGGATTGCTGGATTGAATGGTAGTTCTACTTTTGGTTCTTCAAGGAATCTCCACACTGTTTTCCACAGTGGTTGTACTAGTTTACATTCCCACCAGCAGCGTAAAAGTGTTGTCTTTTCACCACATCCCTGCCAACATCTATTATTTTTTGACTTTTAAATTATGATCATTCTTGCAGGAGTAAGGTGGTATGATTCTTCTTCTTATTTCACTCTGGGATTTGGTCATTTTATAGCCAGACCTGGTCAGCAGGCTCAACTTTCCTCTTGATAAATTCACCATCCTAGACACCACTCCTGTAATGTATTCTTAAAGGAAATACAAGTTTGGGACACTAGAGGTCTCCACCTCACCATATAACCAATGTTATCTCAGGAAAACCTTAAAAGCACAATTTCCATGGCAACATGAAATAGGTGTCTTGTCCTTAAGTGGGAGGAGGAGAGGGTCGAGGAGGAAAACAGGGGCAGTTAAAAGTGGGTAGTTTCTAGTTTCTGTTGGGTGGATGTCATCAGTTGTTATTTTGAAATACTGACTGAAATTTGAGTAGGCTTTGCTGGAGTTAGATTTTCCACTTGTTTTTCAGATTTGTGTCTTTGGTTGGACACCCAGAGCTTCTTAAAGCCTGCAGCACTGGAAAAAAACCAAACCAAAAACAAAAAACAATAACCTTGTGGTGATTATTACATGCACCTGCAGAGAAATTCTTTTCTTCTCTAGATTTTACTTAGATAATCCACATTCAAGTTCAATTTCGGTCAAACCCCAAATTCGAATTGACGTAACTGTTCTGATGTTCGGAATGCGTGCGATCTAAAACGATGCCAGCGTGATGCTCAGAATCTGTTGATCCATCCATGCTTGTCCTGGCATCTTCCCCGATGGTGGCTGCCTTAGACCCTGAGCTTCCAATGTTGCCTTAGCTGGACGATAGAGTGGCCACGTGAACATTCAGTCGAGAATCCAGGTGCACAGCCAGGTGAGAGTATCCAGCCAGGTGAGCAGCCAGGACATGCTGGGAGAAGGGAAACAGTGAGTTCTGTTGGAGTCCTTCCTGTCACTCCATGTCCCTTGGCTCTCTAGTGGCTGAAGTAACTTTAGATTTTTAATGTCATTCCTACATCTCCAGCTTCTCAACAGTGCTTGCTCCCAGCAAAAGTCCCTTCACTTCCACCACCTCCCAGAGGCATGCCTTCTTTCACCAACTCGCAGAGGCGCTATCTCCCAGACATGGGTCTCCTTCCCCCATCTCCCAGAGGCGCGCCTTCTTCCGTCATCTCCCAGATGCCCGTCTTCTTGTCTTATGAGCCTTCTCAGGCTCCTCCAAAACTTGTTTCTTCTGAAAGCGTATTTGACAGCAAGAGTTCTAACTGACTTTTTCCAAATAACAACATCCTTGATTTAAAATTCATTACGTGTTGCTGTTTGTATTTTAAAATATCACCTGTGAAGTCGCAGAACCTTTGGATGTATTAAAAAGAAAGGAAAAGATGCATCTCTAAAACCTCTGAGGCTTGGAAAAAAATTCTTAGATCACTAAACTTTCTTGACATTCTTCTCTTGCCAGTGGATGCTGATGAATGACAAAGAGCTGATAGGCAGGGCTTAGGACACTGGGAAGAATCCGTGCTCCTTCATGGCAGAGATCAGTCTGGGCCGGCTCTGACGTCCCCAGGAGGTGGAAAGCAAAGCAAAGTCTGGTTCCTTCTTTGTTTCCATCCTTTCCTCCCCTGCTTTCTCCCCCTCTCATGTGTTACTACAGAAAAGAGGAAGGAATACCTGCCCACCACTCCTTAAGAGACTTTCCCTATCCTCACCCGACCCCTGGCATTCAGCTCAGGAGCCCTCAGTGCTCCTTTCCACCCAAACTCCTGTGGCTAATTACAGGACCATAGAGTCAGAGGGAAGCCTGGCGACTGATCCATCATAACTGAAACCTCAGCTCAAAAACCCTCTAAATGTGTCTGATAAAGTTATATTTCCTGTGCTTTTTCAGTCCCAGCTCAAGGAACTGTCAACCTTCCAGGGAGAGAGCCTGTCTGTCTATTTATCAATCATCTGTCTACCTACCTACCTATCAATCTATCATCCATCTATCTACCTATGTATCATCTATCTATTCTGTCAATCATCTGTCTCCATATTATTTGTTTATCCATCTATTACTCATCCATCCATCTGTCCATTCATTTATCTCATCTCTATATCTATCTTATCTAATATCTATCTATCTATCTATCTATCTATCTATCTATCTATCTATCTATCTTGCTATCTATGTATCTATCATCTATCTACCTATCATCCATCTATCTCTATCTATGTATCATCTATTTATTCTATCAATCATCTACCTCTGTATTATTTTTCTACCCATCTATCATCCACCCATTCGTCCATTTATCTCCTTTCTATATCTATCTTATCCATTAACTATCTACTTCTGTCTATCTCTCTATCTCTCTATTTGTCTATATCTTTATATTTATCATCAAATCTATTTATGTGTGTGTACATATGTGTATACGTGTGTGTACGTATACATTAAGTGTTTGTGTATTCAAAGTAATAAATACACATAATTTAAAAATCCTTTAGTTGTTTCTCCTTACCGTATCTTAAGTAGATTTGTGTTTTGCTCTTTCCTAATGTTTAAATTTTGAGATGATGTTTGGACTTCCTGTTGAGGAAGATGACAGTTTATTTAATCAATTCCCCACACACATACCCTCCATGCTCCCCCATTCTCTCAGTCAGGTTGTAACTCTCAGTTTGATTAATTTGGCATTTACATTATCATTACTCACAGTGGATCCATTTAATGTATTATAATTATCTTTGCATTTCTGGACAAAGTATTCTTTTATTTGGAATTAATAAAATAGTTATTAATATGCTTGGGTTTCTGTGTATCACCCACTCTCAAATCTCTGACAGAACTGAAATCTCCTTTTTTTTTTTTTTTTTTTTTGAGACAGAGTCTTGTTCTGTCACCCAGGTTGGAGTGCAGTGGCGCCATCTTGGCTCATTGCAATCTCCACCTCCTGGGTTCAAGTGACTCTCCTCTGTCAGCCTCCTAAGTGGCTGGGATTACAGGTGCATGCCACCATGCCTAGCTAATTTTTGTATTTTTAGTAGAGACGGGGTTTCGCCATGTTGGCTGGGCTGGTCTTTAACTCCTGACCTCAGATGATCTGCCCTCCTTGGCCTCCCAAAGTGCTAGGATTATAGGTGTGAGGCAACGTGCCCAGCCGAAATCTCCTTTTTTTTGAGACAGAGTCTCACTCTTGTCGCCCAGGCTGGAGTGCAGTGGTGCGATCTCGGCTCACTGCAATCTCTGCCTCCCGGGTTCAAGTGATTCTCCTGCCTCAGCCTCCTGAGTAGCTGGGATTATAGGTGCGCACTACCACACCTGGCTAATTTTTGTATTTTTAGTAGAGATGGGGTTTCACCATATTGGTCAAGCTGGTGTCGAACTCCTGACCTCGTGATCCACCCGCCTAGGCCTCGAAATCTCCTTTTAATACACTTAAACACACCATGCCTTCGAATCTGTGAGTTGGGCTTCTTCCCTAAGGGAGCTGCTTTGTGTGGACGCTCCACTCCCTTGCCGTCTGACTGGTTGTTCTCTAGACTTTACCACTATGGCACGGCTGCTGGCGTTAACTTCTTTTCATAATCACTGCATGAACTTCCTTTGTTTCAGTCAGTCTTCCATGGGATCCTTGGTTTCCAGGTTCCTGTGTCTTTGTCTCTCTTGCTTCAGTTCCCTCCCCTGAGATGACCTATTTCCTCACTCCCGCCTTTTTTTTGGTAAAATATATCCTCTCAATAGCAGGTAGGCAGAGGATAATTTTTTTGAGAAATTGGTTGTCTGAAAATGTCTCTATTATATTCTAACATTTGAATCATAGATTGGCTAGTTATAGAATTGTATGTTCAAATTTATTTTGTCTTGGAATTTTGAAGACATCGTTCCAGTGTCTTGTAACTTTGTTACTGTGAGCAGTCCAATACCATTTTCCTGATCCACTGTGTGTGGCCTCTTTTGCTTTTTATGGGAGGCTTTCAGAAAAACTTCTCTCTCTCTCATCACTAGTGTTCTGACATTTTTTAAATTATATTCTTTGGTGTAGATCTTTTTTTCATTTGTTTTATTGGACACCAAAATAGTCTGTTCACATTGAAAACCTATGTATTTCAGTTCTGGGGAGTTTTCTTATACTATGTCTTTCATGACTTCCTCCCCTTTGATCTTTTTTTCCTCTCTAATTATTATTATTTAGACATGGACTTTGGAACTGAAACTCTAATTTGTTTATTCTCCCAACATTTTCTAGCTCTAGTTTTCATCTACTTTTGGGAAGTTTCTTTAACATTCTGAATTTTTATAGCCCCTGGTCTAGTTCATGGATGGAATGTGAATGTAATACATCCTTAGTGTTTCTGAAGATAATAATTGTTGTAGCCTGGGCATGGTAGCTCATGCCTGTAATCCCAGCACTTTGGAAGGCTAAGGGGGAAGGATCCCTTGAGCCCAAGAATTTGAGACCAGCCTGGGTAACAAAGTGAGACCCTGTCTCTACAAAAACTCAAAAAATTAATCAGGCATGGTGGTGCACATCTGTGGTCCCAGCTACTTGGGAGGCTGAGATTGGAGGATCACCTGAGCCCAGGACGTGGAGGCTGCAGTGAGCTGTATTTGTGCCAATACACTCCATCCTGGGTGACACAGTGAGGCCTGTCTCAAAGAAAGAAAAATTCAGTTTCTTCATCTCAGCTACATTTCAAGCCAACAATAGCTCCATGTGGCTAGTGGCTACCATACTGTGCAGTGCAGATGTGGTACATTTCCATCACAGCAGAAAGTTCTGTTAGACGGTGTCAGAATTCAGAGTTTGTGGTGCATTTTGTTCATGACTTCATTTCCACCAATGGTATTAATTTGTCATGTGCTATAAGAAAAAGCCTAGATGCACTTAAGCATTTTTGACAAATGAAGGTTGAATGACATCAAGACACACTGCACAGCTGGCTCTTCCTTGATAGTTCCAGTAGAGAAAGGTGGTGCATAGATCGAGTCACTGCACCATGTGTGCTCATCTAACCGTGCTGAACTCAGAAGAAACCACACCATGGTAGTTAAGACACATTGACATGGAGGGTAGTCGTTTAGTTTTAGCCTCGTAATGTCATCATCACCATAAAATCAGTCTTGTTCTGTCAGTGTTATTACTTTTGTAGTTTTCTTTGTATTAACTTTTACAAATTGTATCTTGCTTTTATAGCTGTATAAGAAAAATAAAGCAGAAGTTTTTATTTTTTACTTCTTCATATTTAGGTTTGATACCCCCTTTCTTTGTGATCAATCAGATAGAATTATTTTTCCTATGAAAGAGGTCTCTAAATGATTTATGTTGGGATGCAGCAATAAAATAATAATACTATGTTAGTGGGTACCTATTCCACATTAGGTACTCTTCCAAGTGCTTTGCATAGATGGCGTTATTCACTTCTCATATGGCTTGTGAGGCTAGCACTATTATTGTCCTTATTTTATTTTATTTTTTGTCTTTATTTTTTGGTCCTCATTTTAGAAAGGAGGAGACTGAGGCTGAGTGTTTAAGTGACTTGTCCAAGGTTATACACCACATCGGGGGTGAGGCTGGGTGTGACCCGGGCATCCTGACTCCATAACCCACTTGCTGTCCCTCCCCTTATGGTGATAGAGGGACAAGCTTTGTCATCAAACAGGCTTGGGATCTAGTTCCAGCTCTTCTTCTATGATTCTGGGAAAGATGTGTAATCTTTCCAAACCTCAGTGTCCTTGTTGATAAAATGGAGACAATGATGCTGTCCTCAGAGATTGTCGTCAGGGGTTAAATGAGGTAATATACACAAAGCACTTCACCCAGTACCTGGTAATTGCAAGAATTTTCCAGAAGGAAAACTGAGCTCTCCTTCTGCCACCTGGGAGTAGGGCAGTTGGTGCATTCCAACAGCATATTTTATAGTCAAAGCTTCATCCGCAGTAGAGTGAAGAAACGACATGGAAGGCAGAAGCTGGGGGCAGAAAACATGTTCCCTGGCTGGGCATTTCCTTCCTGTCCTCATGGTGAGACATCATTGATCACTGTGGTCACTGTGCCTCTCAGATGACCCCCTGGTGGGAGTTGCTGCCAACCTCTGAGGGTCCTTCTCAGACAGTGAGTTGGGTGCTGTACAGAAACAAACTTGGGTGGCGCCTACTCCATTTCCAAATATCTCTGGGCTCTGGGAGTTTGGCCCAGCTCTTCACTATGCTTATTTCAGAGGACAAATAGAGGTGGGAGGCATCTCTGGACAGCAACAGCTGGTGTGGTCAGCAAAGGCAGGAGGCTGATGCTGCAGCCAGGCCTGGGGTGGGTTGGCTTTGGGGTTGTTTATGAGATGTGTTGGCCCTTTCAGCCTGGTAGGAGAGAATGAGCAAAAGCCCTAGAGCAGGAGCAGACATCAGGCATGTAGGGAACAATGAGTCAGCCAGCCTGGTGCTCACGGCAGTGTGGTGTCTTGCTCTGATATACACACACAGGCACACGCATGCCCCAGGGACACACTCAGTCTCTTTGGGTTCCGGACTTATTTAGGACGCAGGGAGAAACAAGGAAGTTGGGGCTCCTTCCCTCATCACTGACCCTCCAGGAGACTGAGCAGACGGCATTGAGGGAAGGAGAGCAGCCAGTGGCTTCATTCCCCGGCCTGCCGTCGGCTGGGGGCTGCTGCCCATCAGGATGGTTCCCTGAGTCAGAGAGAGGAATAACACAGGACTGACTGGAGGGCTGCCTGCAAGACTCCCAGCACCTTGGGGACCCCTCAGTAACTCCGGGAAGTGAGAGCAACTTACTGGAAGTTGCTAGTCTTAGCCCTCCTTGAGTCACCCACACTGCGGTGGCAGGACGACCCTGTGTCTCTGCTACTGTGACCGACCCTACCTCCTGGCTTCTGCTGCCCATCCCTTTGGCTGCCTTGTGGTCTTTACCAAATGCCTCTTCTCTTGGCCATCTGGTTTTTGCCTCTGTCTAAAATTCTTCAGGAGAGAGGACCTGATACCTAAGTCCAGTTAATCCTGTAGTGCCTGTAGGACGAAGTAATTTCCACCAGGCATTCTCGTGTGCCAGGCCCCACACAGACAGAGGATTGTAGAGACGTGCTCACCCACATCCTATTCACCCACTCACTCAACAAATGCACGTGATGGAGGAGTGTCTGCCAGGGTGGTAGGCTCGGTGGTAAAGAGCGTGGTCCCTACGTGCAAGAAATCTCCTGTGTAGCTGTGGCACCAAGAGCAACATCACTGTCACTCTAGGGCTTGTCTGTGTGTAAACAAGCAAAATTCTCGGGGCAAAACCAAACCAAACCAACACCTTTATTATTTGCGCCCACCATCCATTCAGACCTGCTCTGTGGGGCTCATTCTTCCAAACTTTGGCTGAAATCTCAGAGGTCCCATGACCTTTCCGGTGACATTAGACATGTCCTTCAGTTGCTCCCTCAAGATTCATTTCTGTAACTTACATGTGCAATGCCATGAATAATTGAAAACCGATTTAAAGTTGACCCTGTCCTCTCATCTAGCTCGAGAGGGCAGTGCTGGTGGCTTGTGGTGGGGAAGGCACGTGGTCAGCGTCTTCATACTTCTCACCCGCCCATGCTCAGTCCTCTCCTTCCGCAGTCCGATGACCATGGTTTCTGCTCCTTCTTCCCCGAAGTTGGGAAAGGACAGAGAAAGGAGAGAGGTGGCAGGAGAAGTCTTCCTTGGTTTGCATTGTTGTGAGTGGGTTCTGGGATGTTCCCGGTCTGTGGGTGTTTAAGGCTGATGCTTCCTCTGTTGGCCATCATTGATGGGTCCATTGGAGACAGAGGCTCTGAGAGCTCAGACCCCTGCCTGCAGTTTTATGATGTAACAAAGGCATTTCTTCTTCTCTGGCTGATTTACGACTTCTTCCTCTCTCCTAAGCATGGTCTTGCTGGACGGGATCTGAGAAAATCCTGGTCAATGCTCTCTCTGTGGCCAGCCTCTCGTGCACAGGGAGCTCTCAGCCAAACTCTCAGTCTGTATCTTCCAAAAAGAAGCACTGATCTCTCTTTTTCCAAAACCTTTAACTATACCCTGAGGTAAAGTTCTCATTTCTATTGGCAAGGTTGAGTCTAGGCTAAAGTGCAAAGTGGAGGGGAACTGGGAGTGGTGATGAGAGGACCGGCATCGAAGAGACTGGCCCCCGCACTGCGTCCCCTAGAAGGGGGACAGGTAAGCCAGGTGTGGCCCTGAATTAGGAAGTCCACTTAAAACTTTAGTGAACAATCATCAGATGCTGATTGGTGGATGTCGCTGAAACCCTGCACTCTGGAATGAAGCAAGATCTGATGCTAAGAGTTCTGGGTTCAAGTCTCCACTGGTCAACCCTCTAGTGTAAGCTTTATGGTCTCCCTGGGCCTCAGGTCTCTCCTCTATTTTTTTTTTTTTTTTTGAAACAGAGTCTTGCTCTGTCGCCCAGGCTGGAGTGCAGTAGCGCGATCTCAGCTCACTGCGACCTCCGCCTCCCGAGTTCAAGCGATTCTCCTGCCTCAGCCTCCTGAGTAGCTGGGATTACAGACGCGTGCCACCATGCTCAGCTAATTTTTTGTATTTTTAGTAGACGGGGTTTCACCATGTTGGTCAGGCTGGTCTCAAACTCCTGACCTCATGATCTGCCTGCCTGGGTCTCCCAAAGTGCTGGGATTACAGGCGTGAACCACCGCACCTGGCCAGGTCTCTCACCTATTAAATAGGGATATTAATAAGCAATTTCAGAGGACACCTGAAAGAATAGAAGGAAGTAACAAGTACTTCGCACACTCAGAAATACGAAGCAAATAGTAAGCTTGTTAGTCACCTGACATATTCATACAGATGACATTTATTAAAAACAAATGATGAGGCCTGTAATCCCAGCACTTTGGTAGAGTGAGGCAGGGGGATCATTTGAGTCCAGGAGTTCAAGACCAGCCTAGGAAACATAGGGAGACTCTGTCTCTAATTCAAAAAAATAAAAAATAAAACAAACAAAACCAAATGATGAATAGACCTTATTTTGGTCTAGTGGAGGGGATAAAAGTTGCGTTGGTTCCTGTTTCTAAGAGCCAACAGTCTTCACTTATTTGTCTCCTGGTAGGGGTCCTGTTGGGGTCTCTGGGTGTCAGGAGGATGCTGGGTGCTGGGGCAGGGGTATGTGGGAACCCAGAGTGAGGAGAGGACGACTGGAAGGAAAATGGGGTAGAGCTGCCCCCAGGCCTGCAGCGAGTGGAATCCACGAGTGTCTGTGTTTTGGAAAGTGTTGCTCACTGACCTTTTAACTTTGCAGGATTTTGATTCAGATTTAGAACCAGAAAGCGCTCTAGTGAGGACTTTAGATAGCGTCTTCACCAACCCCATTGCTCTAGTGAGAAGGGACTTTAGATAGCGTCTTCACCGACCCCATCACTCTAGTGAGACGGGACTTTAGACAGCATCTTCACCTCCATTACTTGGAGGCCCCAAAAGATGAAATGACTTGTTCAGGGCTTCACAGCAAATGCAAAGCAGAGCAGAGATCAGAACAGAACGGGCGGCTCCCTGCCCTCCACTGGCCCATCCAGGGCCTTAAAGGACCCTCTCCCTCCTTCAAGCAGGTGAATTTGGTAAACATGTGTGAGCATTTTCATTTGGAGCAAGGGGAGGACAAGTGTCGCCTTCTCACATAACTAGAGGTTTGTAGTCATGGTGCTATTTTCAGAACAAAGGGCCCGGACACCTGAATGGACACATCTGAAGATAGATGCCCATCCTTAAATGAGGTTACTCGTGTTCATTTTAGGGGAGTGTCTATTTAAAAAAAATCACAAGAGCTCCGTATAGTCAGGAAAATGTTCCAGCACACCTGCAGACTGTCAACAGTCTGCTTATATTAATTATTCTATTTTAAATATAATATCTAAAGTTATTTCCAGCCATGTGATGAGGTAGGCTAGTGACTCCGAATATTATGCAGACTTGCTTTTCTTACAATTGCCTTAATGTCATCTGACTTCCTCACCCTTTGTCTTACTCTACTCCTGCCTCAGCCTCCCAGGTAGCTGGGATTATAGGCCCCCGCCACCACGCCTGGCTAATTTTTGTATTTTTAGTAGAGACAGGGTTTCACCATATTGGCCAGGCTGGTCTCGAACTCCTGACCTTAGGTGATCTGCCCACATTGGCCTCCCAAAGTGCTGGGATTACAGGCGTGAGCCATCGTGCCCAGCCAATCCCCCAACTGTAAAACATCATCTCAATGCTAGCTACATTTTGAGGACTGACACAGCAGAAGCAAGTTCTTGTGGGGGGCAAGCGGGGAAGTAAACGATTAAGAGGACTCTTTTTTTTTTTTTATTCCATTTTTACACATCCACCTGTTTGCCATGAAGTCACAACATTTTATCAAAATATACACACAGCACAAATACCTTTAAAATGTATGGTTGGAATTCTAATTCAACTCAATTGACTGCTGCAAACAGCATGCATGGGCCATTGATCTTGAATGATGCCTACGGAGGGGCTTATGAGTCATGAAATCACCAGTCATGGCACGAGAAGGGGTTAAGGTTCTTTTCCCAGGAGACTTATGCACTTCATTTCTTTTCTTGTTATAGTGTGAGAATGGCAGTGAGTGACTGTGCCAATACTGGAGTCTGCTGAGAATGGGTGGATGGAAAGGTTTTTACTGGCAAGGGTGAAATGATACTATCTTTTCTATCTTGACAAGATAACAAGCGAAGGTGTCTAGCAAACCTTCCCTCTCACTTTCCACTTGTCCTCTTGACCATGGATTTCATGCCCAATCAGGATGAATGGATTTGTAGATCTCAAGTTACAAGCTATGTTTATTGTAAAGAATTCCCATAAAAACCTATCCAGGGCTGGCCCCCCAGCCATTTACACATCCACAGATAGGAATAGAATAAAACGGGTTAGTGATTACTTGTCTGCGGCTGAGTGAGATCCGCTACTAGACCAGGCAATGGGGCCGTTTCAGTCTTGAGACGTCTGTACTCCGTTTGCCCCTGATTCAACAAGCATTTCATTGATCAGCAGTTGGCGCCCAGGTGAAGAGCCATAATTTATTGCAGTATCAAGTCTTGAAACCTTTCCAAGTGCGGAGACCCATCTTTCAAGTAAATAACTATGGTTAGTAATGACCTAACTTCAGGAGCGTCTGTGAGACATGTCAGGAGACGAGACACACGGCATCGTCATTAGTGAAGTAGACTTGGTTTCTGCTACAGATAAAAGTCACATGGGGGCGAACGGGTCTCAGTCTTTATTGTTGAGTGTTTCTTTCTTTTTCCAAGTTGAAAAAGGAACCCAAGCAGTGTCTCTTGAACCAGTTCCCAGGGAGAAGGCAAATTCTTTCCTGTCTCTGGAGGGGCAAGATTCAGGATATCAGCCGCTCCATCCCGGGGTTCATGAAGGAAAAGTTCCTGAACATATTCTGGTCCATGCTGTTGATCAGTGCTCTGTCGGCAAATGACAGCCGGGGCTTCTCGTTTAAGAATTCTTTGTCGAAATTGCTGCAGTCAAATGGTGATTTCTTAGTCAGAGTTTAAGGGAAGAAAGAAAGAGAAGAAAAATCAGCCATTAAGTTCATGATCTTCACTTTTGTTATCTAGGCCGTGATCTGCGTATGGCAAAGTTGGTGTTTGCAGAGACACTAAATGGAGGCAATGCCTACAGATGACCATGCCCAGCTCTCATTGAACATGGCTGTGATCCTGTGTCCTCAGCTTAATAATAATATAAATTCATAAATTCACAGAAAGACTACGACTGTAGACATTCAAATGGGATCTAATGTTTCTAATGGTTTACATGAAGCAGGGTTGGCAACCTTTGAAAAAGTGATCCACCTGAATTTGACCTCTGCCTCTTCAGTTTTCATGGAACACAAGGTGGGGATAAGGGAGGGTGGTGGGGAGAGGGAGTGAGGGGGTGTGAGCGGAGGGATGGGAAGAGAGAAGGAATTTCACAATTACATATTCCTGTTCTTTTATCAACGTTCTTGGCTGTTGTCAGTCCCCTGCCCTTGTTAATTTTATTAGTAAGTATCTTGGGCTTTTTTAGACAGCACAGACTGGGACAGACTCCTTTCAGACCACTTGGTCCATTGGTTTTCATGGCAAAAAAACCAAAACCAAACCAAACAACAGAGAAAGGGAAAGCAAACATCTATTTCATACATGCTGTTCAGTATGGTGTTCAATTCAGTGTCCCAAGATTGAGAACAACCATTATCAACAGAAAGTGCTATGAACACAGAGAAGCGAAATGAAGAACCAGGCCCCTCCCACCCTCCAAGGGGCCCTGGGGCTGTGAGGTCAATGGCAGCTCAGACCACAGGTCAGGGAAAGTTTCCTACTGGCAGAACTGGGAATGTCCTTTAGGGTAAGCTTAGATCAAAGTTTTGATTTTTATGTGCAAAATATTAAGTCAATTTTAATCTGCAGTGGAAGGTGAGACATGGTTTAATAGTTCTGATAGCTAAAAACAAGGTAAAATTTTTATTTTATCACAAATGACTAACCCACGTATTAGATGTGGTTCTGTCACAAGTAATTAGAGTGCTTGAGGCTGGCCTGTTGGGTCCTTGGAACATCACTGGAGCTTGGGACAGATGTTGAGAACAACTATTCTTGCCCTGGGAATGAGATGCACCTGCTTCTTCTGGCCATTCGCTATCATGACTAATAGCCTGTGCGTTCTCTGGGGTGGAATCTGTTGGGAAGTCCATGAGCCTGGCCCCCTTCAGCACGGATATGGCCCATGTCTATCCAGGCAATCACAGGGAATGGTTAAGGCTGGCAAACCCACAACTTTGCTCTACTCTTTTAAAAATCATTATTTTTAGAAATTGTGATATACATAACTTAAAATTTACTTTCTTAATGACTTTTTTTTGTTGTTTTTCTAAAAAGTTTTATTTTTGGAGACAGTCTCTCGCTCTGTCACCAGGCTGGAGTGCAGTGGTGTGAACCCAGCTCACTGCATCCTCTTGGGCTCAAGTAATCCTCCTGTCTTGGCCTACTGAGGAGTTTGAACTACAGGCATGCACCACCAAGCCCACTTAATTTTGTAGAGATGGGGTTTCACTATGTTGCCTAGGCTAGTCTCAAACTTCTGGGCTCAGGCAATCCTCCCACCTCAGCCTCCCGAGTAGCCAGGATTATAGGCGCCCGCAACCATGCCCAGCTAATTTTTGTATTTTTAGTAGAGACAAGGTTTCACCATGTTGGCCAGGCTGACCTCGAACTCCTGACCTCAGGTGATCCACCCGCCTCGGCTTTCCAAAGTGCTGGGATTACAGGCGTGAGCCACCATGCCCAGCCCAACCTTGCTTTATTTTTGACTTCACTTTATGGTGGCCCGTCTCGCAGGTGAGCCAGGTCATTCTGCCTTTGCTGATGTAGCTTAATGACTTTTGCCAGTGAGGACATAAATGGAAATGTACAGACCTATCTTTTTTAAAGCACGGATTTAGTTAGTTTCTCCCTTAAACCAAAGAACACCTAACAATTACCCTTAGGAAATGTCGTTATATGAGCACTTTACAGATACTTTAATAAACATCATGGAAAAAACAGCTCCAAAATTCCTGACGTAGGATGCAGGGTTTATGTCCAAGTTTGGGTTACCCAGACTGGACCATTAAGTACGTATGTGTCATGTGCACAACCCCCATCTTGTTTAATAGTCACCCTCACAAATTCATATTCAACCTAAGGCGTGGACACACAGCAATCCATTCTTCATGCAGGCGCATCTTGACGACAGAGATTAAATTTTGCAAACAAGAGTGACCTCCCCTCCCTGCCCCACCAGCCCAGTAACATGTGTTAGAGACGTGCATTCCTCCTGGAGAGTGGGGCTGGTGGGGAGTTGGGGCACCGGCAGGGGTGAGCAGCTGCGGTGACTTGGACAGGCAGACGGCCCTGAGCGGAGGGAGAGTGGCTGACACCAAGCGGCCCATGAGCGAGTCCTTACCACTTTCGGCCGGAACGGTGGGTCAATCTCCTTCCGTTCAAGTTCCTCCCAGTTGATCTCCCGAAACAAAGGGTGCTGGCGGATGTCTCCCCTCACGCCCAGCCTCTTCTCAGGTTCTCGCACGAAGAGCTGAAAGGGAGCAGAGCAGGAGCCCTGAGGTCTCCAGGGATGACCCTTTTGCATCAGGAGGTCGTGGTGCTTCCTGGTGCACCAGCCCCTTCTTTTCTAACCTCATTTTTCTACTCACCTTCATCAGGACTGACTAAAGTCAACCTGTCCTGGCACTCTCCCTTGAAGAAGCCTTTCTAAATTTGCTGGAGTCTGACACGTTATCTTCTGAGGTGCATAGACCTGATTTGAAACCGGCTTTGCCCTGTGTTATTAATTGGACCTTAGGCAACTGACAAACCTGAGTCAGTTTCCTCACCTGTAAAGTAAGCCAAGTGCCCTCCTAACAGGGCTGATGTGACGATTTATAAGACAGCAATACACACACAAACACGCACATAGACAGGCACACACGTGCACACAGACAGGCACATGTGACGGCATACACACATGGACATAAACACACACTGGCACACATGCACATAAATGTGAGCACGTGCAGACATACATACACATGAACACATGCATACACATGCACATGGACATGAACACATACACCTGCACACCCACTAAAACACAAATGTGAGCACACGCACACGGACAGGCATACACACGCATACACACACGTACAGGAACACATGCACACACACGCACGCATTTGTGCAGTATAACTCCTGGTCTGTTACACCCAACAGCATAGAGTCAGTGATAATTTGTCATTTGATCAATTATCCATCACTCCAGTCTGATTTCTTACAAAGCTGCATTCTTAGAATGATTCCAGCATTGTGGGGACTCAGGTATAATAGAAACTAGTCCCAGACAGTCAGCTTTGGACTCTACAAGGCATCTGAGTGAAGAGAATTACCCTCAGCTCCTGCAAACCTGCTGGAGGAGCAATATTTAATTCAAGGTCCATCTAATAATTTCTGAGCTGGCACATACATACATATGTACATTCCTCTCTGCACTGTTCCTTCTCCTGTTCTTTCTGCCTAAGAAGTTAAAATGAACACTGGCAAGACAGGAAAGAAACTTGGATATTTTTCAAACTTAAATAAAACCTGTCAAGGGCATTAAGAAACAGGAGAGTCTAAACATTAACTTAGAAAAGTAACAGGTCCCCTGGGTGTCTGGAGTAGTTACCGGTTATTCTTACATCAGCTAGATGTTTATTTATGAAGTAACCATGAGTTATAGGGCATTTTAAGGAGCCTAAGGTTCTTTAAAACAGAAAACATGGTGGAACGCGTGATTTTCCAGGAGGCTTTCCCAGGGACTTGACCTCCATTCACACCTAAATTGCGAGTCTCTTGTTTTTACTGCTCATAAACATAGCCAGCCTGCATGTTCTGAAATAGTGCTTCACTTGTGTTATCTGAGTACTTGAAAATCTTCAAAGGCTCCGTTCTACCAAAAAAATATAAAGACCAAACAACATGCTATTGTAAAGTGAAGTTTTTTCGCTTTTTTAAAAAAAAGTAGGAGAATCTTTTAAAGTTCCGGGTGAAATGTTTGTGCAATCACCCGGTGTATCTGATTGGCAAATTCTTAGCAGTCTCAACTTCCTCTCTCCCCCTTACCATATGGGGACTGCTGAGGACTCTCTAGGGAAACTTGGGGTTCCAAAGTACCCAATTAGAAAGCCACTGCACGGTGGAAATAACACGACAGCTATCCGAGAGACTGACTACCCACGTCGCCTTGGATAAGTTTTCTGAGTCTCAGTTTCCTCGTGTGTAAAGGAAGGGCTAGACAAGGTGATCTCTAGGGCTTGGAGAGTTCTGACATCCTCGGGTCCTCGGCTGGCATTCAAGGCTCTCTGGAGTCTGACGCTGACTCACAGGACCTTCCATTTCCCATTAGGACCCTCTCCAGTCCAGACATTTCTGCTCACCGAAAACACCACCTGCCTTCCTGTCTCTGTCCCTCACTAATGACATTTCCATCTTGCCATGAGATACCCTCCCCTAGTCGACTCCTGCTTCCCTCCCCTCATCTTTAAATTCTGCCTTATCTTTCAGGGCTCAGCTTTCACCCCCTTTTCCTTGTGAAACTTTCTTTGATTACCTCCCCTGACAGGGAGCTCTCTCTCTTCTGTTCAAGTCATATTCAGGATTGATCACCCTATCATACATCATTCACATCACTCATGATTCTTACGACTGATACATCATCCACTCCAACCAATGTTCTTTGAGAGGCAGGCACTGTGCTAGATGCCTCAGTGATTTTCAAACAAATTCTAAGAGAAACAAATTCATCATCCCAGTTGTCAGCTGAGGAAGCCGAGCTTCAGAGGATCTAGCACTTTGATGACAAGCGGCCTCCTTCCCCCTCATCCTGATGGATAATCTCTCATCTGTGTACCACACAACATCTTCGCTCCACTGGAGAATTAGCACATTGTATCTTTTTTCCAAGGTTGTCTTCTTTCCTACCACACTGTAAGCTCTGGAGGCCGGGCACCATTGACATATCTATTCCTTACAGAAGCTAGCATAGTGCCGTGCACAACATAGATGCTCAGTAGATGCCTGCAGAGTAAGTGAATAAGCTGTCTTTCCATTTTGTTTATCTGCAGATCACGCATCTTCTATCCTCATTTTATCTCGGTTGCCTGTTTTCAGCATAGAAAAGAAGCACCAAGTTCACGGTAAGATATATTTTTCTGTAGACTCAGAAAATGGAGTGGGTACTAAAAGCCCTTCATCACCACTGTGCAATCCACATAGGTAACGAAATGACACCTGCACCCCATACATTTATACAAACCATAAAACAGCAGGAGTCATCACATGGAGCTGATTGATGTTTTAGAAGCAAAGAGGGGCTGGGCACGGTGGCTCATGCCTGTAATCCCGTCACTTTGGGAGGCTGAGGTGGGTGGATCACCTGAGGTCAGGAGTTTGAGACCAGCCTAGCCAACATAGTGAAACCCCATCTCTACTAAAAATACAAAAATTAGCCGGGTGTGGTGGTGGACGCCTGTAACCCCAGCTATGCGGGAGGCTGAGGCAGGAGAATCATTTGAACCTGGGAGGTGGAGGTTGCAGTGAGCCGAGATCGCACCACCACTGCACTCCAGCCTGGGCAACAGAGCAAGACTCCTTAAAAAAAAAAAAAAAAAAAGGAAGCAAAAGGAATAAGTGACTTGCCCTATATCCCTTCTCCTGAAACAATGATACTAAATGATAAATGATTGGTCTCTGCTTCTTAAGGACATTTGGATGAAACGAGATTAGATAGATGGCGTAAGTGTCTCAGGAAGGGGCCAAAACCTCGCTCATGTTGTTCTAATGAGATGCTTCAGCAAAGTAGGCTGGAAGTAACTGCCCTGGGCCGTGTGTGCTGCAGGCTGGGTTTTCTATTCTATTTCTTCCAGTGAACATGTGGTATTTGTACCAAGAGGATCATGTCAATGGGCTTTCTTAGCTTGGATGTGTACCTGCAAAATTTAAAAATATATTTTAAAAAATTAAATGTGTAATGAGAAGAGCATATGGTCTCCAGCTCTGAGCGTCAATATTCTTTCCAGTTTTGCACAGAACGGTAAATTAGTATATGTTCTGCCTTGCAGCGACTCAACCCACTGAGGTCCTGAGGATGACAGGTGACCTCATGGGAGTGGGGCCAGGCTGGAAGCTCCGCCCCTGGAAAGCTGCACTGAGGAAATAAAATACCTGAAGACTTGATTTTGTCTGTAAAAGCTGTCAGGACGGAGGTTTACATTGATGGGAAAAAATAGCCAGGATGTAGTTGAAGTTTGTTTAAGTTTATTGGACAGTCTGTGCAAGAAAGCAGCTCCAGGCTGCAGAGGACAGCCAGCAGTAGTGCTGACAGATTGTACCTGGAACCTGCCTTCCCTCTTCAGTCCCTCCTCAGATATGTCTTTCTATGAAAGGAAGAGATATTTATGTTCTATATCATTAGTTTCCCATCATTTTCAAACAAATAGACAGGACATCCTGGATGGATAAATGAGGAAGTAAAGAGTGTTTTTTTTCTTTTTTTTGAGATGGAGTCTTGCTCTGTCACCCAGGCTGGAGTGCAGTGGCGCGATCTCGGCTCACTGCAAGCTCCGCCTCCCGCGTTCATGCCATTCTCTTGCCTCAGCCTCCCGAGTAGCTGGGACTACAGGCGCCCACCACCACACCTGGCTAATTTTTTGTACTTTTAGTAGAGACGGGGAGTAAAGGGTGTTTCTTTGGCAATCATCAACTGGACAGCAGTGTCCCCACTGGAATTCTTGCCAGAGCACAGCCTCTCCCAGTGGGCAATTGTTCAGTGCACGACATGCATCCATGCCCTAGGTGGGCCAATGGCAACGGGTCTGGCACTGCTGCTGTCACAGATGCCATGAAATGCTGCTATCCTCAGCTTTTCCGGAGGACCTATGACTTCTGGGTTTCATAACATTTTGTCAAATTCCCTAGAAGACGTTTCTGAGAAAGGGCATTACCTTTTATTTTTGCAACAAATGGGGCTCAAGAATGTGGGGGCTGTTGGATCAAAGCAAAGGAGGAATAGAGATAAAGCTGCAAGCCAGTTTATGGGCAGCAGATTGCATAATGGAAATTAATTTTATCAGCCCAACTGCAAGAATATGTGTAAGAGAAAGTTCATGGAAGTTTTACTAACTCACATGGGAAATAACAAGTCCAAACTCTTCTATGTCAACTTTGAACAGCAGTGTCCAATCTTTTGGCTTCCTTGGGCCGCATTGGAAGAAGGATTGTCTTGGGCCACACCTAAAATACACTAACACTAACAATAGCTGATGAACTAAAACAAAAATCACAAAAAATGTCGTAATGTCATAAAGTTTAGGAATTTGTGTTGGGCTGCATTCAAAGCCATCCTGGGCTGTATGCAGGGCGTGGGTTGGGCAAGCTTCATTTAGAACTTCTTTTTACTGAGAATGGTGGCTCATGCCTGTAATCCCAGCACATTGGGAGGCTGAGGCGGGCAGATTGCTTTGAGCTCCAGAATTTGAGACCTGCCTGGGGAACATGGCAAAACCCGTCTCTACAAAAAATACAAAAATCAGCTGGGCATTGGTGGCATGCACCTGTAGTCCCAGCTTCATGGAAGACTGAGGCTGGAGAATTGCTTGAGCCTGGGAAGCATAGGCTGCAGTGAGCTGAGACTGCACCACTGCACTCCAGCCTGGGTGACAGAGCGACACTCTGTCTTAAAAAAGAAAAGAACCTCTTTCACCCACCAGTCCTCTTGTTTGCTTCTTTAAACTTTATTATCTTAGTTTCTGCTCTATTCAACCAAATTTATTTTCTTCTCTTGTGGCAACTCTTTCTCTTGCCACTGAAACTCTGCAGATGACTTTTTATTTGGGTGTTTGCAAGGCATTTAGCCTTAGATTTAGTTTTGTTTTTAAATAATTATAGATTCACAGGATGTTGATAAGACAGTACAGAGATGTCCTGGGTGCTCTTCACCCTATTTCTCCCAACGGTTCCATCCCACGTAATGATAGCATAAGATTAGGAGCTGGCCTGGTACCGTGTGTGTATATACTACTTATGCCATTTTATCACATGTGCAGATATGGGCAACCTCCACGCCAAGCAAGATACAAACTGTTCCATAACTGCAAAGATCTACCTGTGCTGCATCCTGAGAGTCACGCCCACCCTCCTGTCCCCAGCACCCCAACCCCAGGCAACCACTAATCTGACTTCCATTTCTATGGTGTTGCCACTTTAATGAAGTTATATCAATGGACTCAGAGAGTATGTGATCTTTTGAGATTGGCTTTTTGCACTCAGCATAATGCCTTGGGTTGTTTTATAGATCAATAGTTTGTTCCTTTTCATTGCTGAGTAGGATTCCAGCACACGGCTTTTCACCTTTTCTCCTCCAACTGGAAGGAACCCTTTCTTCCCATCCAATCTTTCTCTCCTTGGAAATCATCACTTCCAACTTCTCTCCACGGAATTACTTCTGGTTACCTCTGTCCCTCCTTCACTCTCCGTCCTGGCCTGAAGTATTGCATATCCTCAAGGTAGGCTGGGTTTGTGAAGCACAGGGGGAAGCTGGCATTTATGGGCCATGAGGGGTGTTGGGGGATTGTGACTCTCCCTCCAGAGCCTCCACCTTGGGACTCACTTGGAGACAGCCCCTGAGTCTGGAGGTGCTCTCACGCCTCAGGTTGTACAGACTAAGCCTTGTGCTCACTTTTTTCCAGTGGGTTTTGCTGGCCCAGGCTTTGCAGTGCAGCCTCATGCTTTGGACTGAATGGCGTCCTCTCAAAATACACATGTTGATGCCCTAACCCACAATGTAACTGTAGGTAAGGGCTTTATGGAGATAATTCGGGTTAAATGAGGTCATGGGGTAAGGTCTTGATCCAATAGGGCTAGAAGTCTCACATGAAAGAGAGACCAGAGTTTATCTCTCTCTCTCTCTGCTGTAAGGACACAACAAGAAGGCAGCTGTCTACCAGCCAGGAAGAGAGTCCTCATCAGGAACTGACACTGCTGGACCTTAATCTTGGACTTTCTGCCTCTAAAACTGTGAGAAAGAAATGTCTGTTGTTTAACCCACTCAGTCTGTGATATCTTGTTATGGAGCCCAAGCTGACACATTTCACACTGAGTTCATTATTACGATTGCTACATTTATTGCTACAAATGTAGCAATTGTAATAGTGTTTGAACCTGCCTTTATATAAAATAAAAAACTTTATATCCAGATCCCACTAACTTATTATTTTTTTTATTTTTTATTTTTTTGAGATGGAGTCTTGCTCTGTCGCCCAGGCTGGAGTGCAGTGGTGTGATCTCGGTTCACTACAAGCTCCGCCTCCCGGGTTCACACCATTTTCCTGCCTCAGCCTCCCAAGTAGCTGGGACCACAGGCGCCCGCCACAACACCTGGCTAATTTTTTTTGTATTTTTAGTAGAGATGGGGTTTCACCGTGTAAGCCAGGATGGTCTGGATCTCCTGACCTCATGACCCGCCCATCTCGGCCTCCCAAAGTGCTGGGATTACAGGCGTGAGCCACCGTGCCCGGCTCCCACTAACTTATTTTTACTGTTGTCAGCCTTTTTAAAAAAATTGGTTAATTTTGAGATTAGTTTTCATTTTATCTGTGTTTGGTCATTAAAAGTGCCTTTAATTGATTGTTGAGGGAGTTTTCTAAGCTATTGCTTGTTTGGATCATAGTCAGAAAGTGAAAGCTGAATGGAAGTGGCTCAAATTTTTAAACATCTTGTTCCTTTACCCCTGGGCTGGGGATCCTGTGAGGGCTTTGTCAGCACTTCTCAGATTCAAGATCTTGATTTTCCAGGGAGAGCCCTGGAGTTGCCTCCAAGTTTCTAATGCCCAAGACAAGTTGTCACTTTTATTAGAGAGGTGGAAGTGTATTCCCTTTACATTTAATTCTAAGTACTTCTTCAAAAGCAAAAAAGTAGATTAGTGAAAAAAGATGAGCCTGCTAATATTTTTCTAGTTTTTAATTTAGAACCCATGGATAGCTTCCAATGTTGAAGGATCTTATCCTATTCCCATTTTCAATATAGCACGAACAAGGCTAAAAATTATTTCTCTAAATGATGATTATTTTTTAACCAGCTGACATATGAAATGCCAGAAATCAAAACAATGTTTCTTCCAAAACACCTGCATTCTTGGTCCACTTCCTTTAGATGTGCTAGACTCTTTTTTTTTTGCGGGGGGGACAGGGTCTTGCTCTGTCACCTAGGCTGGAGTGCAGTGGTGTGATCATGGCTCATTGTAACCTCCACCTTGTGGGCTCAAGTGATCCTCCCATCTCAGCCTCCTGAGTAGCTGAGACCATAGGCGCCAGCCACCCTACCTGGCTAATTTTTAGATTTTTTGTAGAGATGGGGTCTTGCTATGTTGCCCAGGCTGGTCTTGAATTTCGGGCTGCTCAAGCAATCCTCCCACCTTAGCCTTTCAAAGGGCGAGGGTTCCAGGCATGAGCCACCACACCCAGCCTAGATGTGCTAGGCTCTTGATTACAGTGATGGGTCTCTTTGACCCAAATATTTGCTGGGACAGCTCAGTATATGTAGGTCCTTATTATTCTTCTATGTATTTAGCATGTTGTATTGACATGATTCATTTCATTCTACAACTTGCTACGCCCATACACTGTGGAGAATATTTCGCATCCTCAAAAAAGGCCAACTCTGAGTCTGTCTAGAGTCCAGATCTTTCTTGATGGCTCTCAGGTGTTCCTCTGTCTCCACGTGGGTTTGCCTTGGGAGCTCCTGGCTCACACCTTGTGATTCTCAGAGCCCAGTTTCCACCTGTAATACTGTGCCTGTATTCTCGATGGATCCTGGGCTACCACGGATAGGGCGCTGAATTCCGTTTTGATGGTGAATTCTGGAGATTGCTGCTAAGATGGTAATAGCCTGTACTCTCAGAGTTTGTTAGAGTGAAGAAGTCAACAATATTTCTGGTGGACAGTGGGTAGGGC
This sequence comes from Homo sapiens, assembly GCF_000001405.40. Taxonomy (NCBI): domain Eukaryota; kingdom Metazoa; phylum Chordata; class Mammalia; order Primates; family Hominidae; genus Homo; species Homo sapiens. Next base: position 6,439,385 of record NC_000010.11, read on the forward strand.
AGGTTGGGGAGAGCTGGTCTGTAGGTATTTTAAGTGCAATTGACCCTTGATGAACCTGGATTTGAACTGCACCAGTCCACTAATATGTAGATTTTTTCAATCAAATTTACACCAAGTGTGCCTGCCTCTCCTGCCTCCCTTCCACCTCCTCCACCTCTTTTGCCTCTGCCACTCCTAAGACAGCAAGACCAACTCCCCCTCTTCCTCAGCCCTCTCAACATGAAGACAAGGATGAAGATCTTTATGATGATCTACTTCCACTTAATGAACAGTAAACACATTTTCCTATAATTTTCTTAATAGAATTTTCTTCTGTAGCTTCTTAGATTGTAAGAATACAGTATATCATACATATAACATATAACACATGTGTTAATTGACTTTGTGTTATTGGTAAGGCTTCTGGTCAACAGTAGGTTATTGGTGGTCGTTTTGGGGGACTCAAAAGCTATATGCAGATTTGTCATTGCATAGGAGGTTGGCTCCTCTAACTGCTGAGCTGTTCAAAGGTCAACTGTACTGGCTGATATGGTTTGGCTTTGTGTCCCCACCCAGAATCTCATCTTGAATTATAATCCTATAATCCCCATGTGTCACGGGAGGGACTCGATGGGAGGTGATTGAATCATGGGGGCGGTTTCCCCCCATGCTGTTCTTATGATAGTGAGAGTATAGTTTCATAAGGGGCTTCCCCCTTCCCGCTTGGCTCTCATTCTCTCTCCTGCTGCCCTGTGAAGAGGTGCCTTCTGCCATGATTGCAAGTTTCCTGAGGCCTCCCCAGCCATGCAGAACTGTGAGTCAGTTAAACCTCTTTCCTTTATAAATTACCCAGTATTAGGTATGTCCTTACAGCAGCATGAGAACAGACTAGTACACTGCCCAAGACAATCTGCTGGGCAGGAAACCAACAGTGAGAGAGTCTTGCAGAATCAGCGTTGGTACAGTATATAGGCCAGGGACTGGACTGAATGCCTGTATCTCAAGGGTTTCAGCCAAACACATCTGCAAGGATAAGTATTTCTGCAGAACCTAGTAGAGTGCCTCATTGAAGTCTCAGCTTTAGCCATCCTCCAGTTCAGGGGTAGGAGGCTGCCAGCCGAATAAGAACTGTTTTTTTCTGCTCATCCTCTTTCCTCTCTCAGCTTCTACCTGGTAAGGTCTGAAGCAGAAACTCAGGAGTTAGAATGGAAGAGAACAAGAACACAGCCAGCAAGAGCATGACAACACTGTCTCCTCCAGTAGTGAGCAGCTGCCAATCACGAGCTCTGAGCAGAGGAAAGGAAGCAGGAGTCCCAGCTTTAAAATTAAAATTTATGTGATGAGGCTGGGCATGGTGGCTCACATCTGTAGTCCCAGCACTTTGGGAGGCCGAGGCGGGCAGATCCCTTGAGGTCAGGAGTTCAAGACCAGCTTGGCCAACATGGTGAAACTCCACCTCTACTAAAAATACAAAAATTTAGGTGAGTGTGGTCGTGCACCTGTGATCCCAGCTACTCAGGAGGCTGAGGCAGGAGAATCGCTTTAACCTGGGAGGTGGAGGTTGCAGTGAGCCAAGATCATGCCACTGCACTGCAGCCTGGGTGAGGGAGTGAGACTGTCTCAAAAAAGAAAAAAGTTATGTGATGAATAATATCCCAGACTGGATGGTTTTAATTTCCCCACTGAGACAGTGTTTCATAACATAAGAGTGACAATAGGTTGTCTTTTATCTAAGAGCAGGCCAAAAAGTCATACATCCTGTCCAAGATTTCAACCAGAGGCAGGGGAAGATGAACTGGACTGAATATTTCTAATAAAAAACTATGGGAAACAAAAGACTGAGTAAAATAAAAAAAAACCCTCTATATAACATAAATGCCCATTTTCTCCTGCCTCAGCCTTCTGAGTAGCTGGGATCACAGGCGTGTGCCACTATGCCTGGCTAATTTTGTATTTTCAGTAGAGACCGTGTTTCTCCATGTTGGTCAGGCTGGTCTCAAACTCCTGACCTCAGGTGATCCGCTCACCTTGGCCTCCCAAAGTGCTGGGATTACAGGTGTGAGCTACTGCACCCAGCCTAAATGCCCATTTTGTTTCTTTTTTTTTTCCCCTTTATTGTTTTGGAGACAGGGGTCTCGATACATTGCCCAGGCTGACCTCACACTTCCAACTTCAATCCTCCTGCCTCAACCTCCCAAGTAGCTAGAAGATTGATTTTTAAGCCACACACTGTGCTTGTTTAATGAACCAACTACATCTCCAGGTGAGCGTATTCAAGGTCATGGAACTGGTTCCTGGGCCGTTATGTTATAACTGATGCACATGAGGGTTTCTCTTACACTCATTTTGACATTTAATGCTCATAATATTGGTGCCTCTATTAAAACACAGACGGTGCACATCCCATTTAAACCCAGTTCAATAATAATCATTGTTTGCCACATGCAAGTTGGAAACTAAGAGGAACAGAAAACTGACCAGAAGACCTAATGCTCGTCTTATGAAGACGCTCTTGGCTTCGCTTCTTACCTTCACCAGAAGGTCCTTTGCTTCCTTCTCCAGCCACCGTGGGTAAAAGGGATTGTCCATGCGGATGGAGTGGAAGAGCTCCTCCTCATCCTGCCCGTGGAAAGGCGACTGACCAATCAGCATTTCATAAAGGAGAACCCCGAAGGACCACCAGTCCACAGAGTGGTTGTATTTCTGACCCAGCAAGATCTGCACAACCAAAAGGCAGACAGGAAATTAACAGGAATGAGGCTGAGGAGTGACAACTCTTCCTGAGCGTCTCAAGGCCACTCAGTAAATGGTCGAGGATGATGGTGTGCAAGAAAGATCACCCTGAAACCCATCTCTTGGGAAGCCAATGACTGGAGAGCAGTGTCTAAACAATGCTGAAATTTTTGAGTTTGAGTCTGAGTAAACACTTTTCAGTTTCAATTTGTACTTTTCCTCTGCTTATAAAGAAACAATGAAACTATGCCATTAGTTTTTATTTTCCCATCAGTGACATGGGAACTTAGGTGGCAGATATTGGACCTAAGAAAGCTGGTATGTGTCTAAGTTCTTCAGTGGCTCTGGTGTGAGCCTGGAAACCAAGCCTACGTGCTTTGCTGACTTGTACTGTCCTGAGTCTTTGCATAAACTCTGTAGTAATCAGGCATCCAAAGAGGTCATCTGGACAGTTCCCTTCCTTAAAGCCTTGCTATCTATGGCTGTTCAGTTCAGGGGGCACAACTCTAATCACTGACATGCAGAATCAAATTGTGTCCTGTGCCAGGAAAGAGAACCTAGGATAGCAAAGTGCTCAAATCTAGGCCGGGTGCAGTGGCTCACTCCTGTAATTCCAGCACTTTGGGAGGCCGAGGCTAGTGGATCACCTGAGGTCGGGAGTTTGAGACCAGCCTGGCCAACGTGGTGAAACCCTATCTCTACTAAAACTACAAAAATTAACCAGGTGTGGTGGTGGGTGCTTGTAATCCTAGCTACTCCGGAAGCTGAGGCAGGAGAATCGCTTGAACCTGGGAGGCAGTGGTTGCAGTGAGCCAAGATCATGCCAATGCACTCCAGCTTGGGCAACAAGAGAGAAACTCCATCTCAAAAACAAAAAAAACCCCAAAGCACTCAAATCTAGAAATGAAAGATCTCTAAGAGCTACCTACAGCTCGATAGCGGGGTCTGAGTCTATCTGTTAGGGAGGAGGATTTAAAGTCTGGAAGCCTACCTAACATTTTGAAAGATTCCTATCCTTTCACCAACCCACTCTTCTGGCAAAAAAGGCTTTGTATGTTGATCTTTCAATGAATTCCTTTTTGGACATTGGAAGGTAGAGGGCACGCGCCATTCTGCTCAGCGTCTGACATCCCAACAAACTGTGCCTAAGCTTCTCTGAGATGGTACATGGTAGGACCCATCCATGGATGAAAGAAATAAGGAAAATGTGCCGGTGGGTAAATTACCAACGGAAATAAAACCAGTATGTAGAGGAGACAGCTGCACTTGCTTGCTCATTGCAGCTTCATTCACAATAGCCAAGATATGGACTCTAAGTGTCCATCAGTGGATAAATGGATACAGAAACTGTGCTATATATACACAGGGGAGTATCAGCCCTGAAAAAGGAGAAAATCTCTACTTGCAACAACATGGATGAACCTGGAAAACATGATGTTGAGTGAAGCAAGCCAGGCACAGAAAAACAAATGCTGCAAGATCTCATTTATATGTGAAACGTAAACACGTTGAACTCATAGAAGCTGAGAGTGGCAGTCGCCAGGGTCTGGGCAGAGGGTAGGGAGGAGGGATAGGGAAGGCGTTGAAGAAAATGTGGTACCTCCACACAGAGGAATATTATTCAGCCTTCAAGGTGAAGGGAAACCTGTCACATGCTACGTGAGTGAACCTTGATAACATTATGCTAAGTGAAGTAAGCCAGGCAGGGAAAGACAAATACTGAATGATTCCACTTACATAAGGTACCTTAAGTATTAACAGAAGTTTTTGCCCTTACTTTCAGTGACAAAAACCGTAACTACTTCTGCACCAACCTAATAGTTAAATTCTAGAGACAGGAAGTGGAATAGTGGCTGCCAGGAGCTGTGGGGAGGGGGAATAGGGAGCTGGTATTTAATGGGGACAGAGTTTTGGTTTTTCAAGATGAAAACCTTCTGGAGATTGATTGCACAACTATACAATACACTTTATTTTATTTATCTATTTATTTTTGAAATGGAGTCTCGCTCTGTCACCCAGGCTGGAGTGCAGTGGCACAATCTCGGCTCACTGCAACCTCTGCCTCCTGGGTTCAAGTAATTCTCCTGCCTCAGCCTCCCGAGTAGCTGGGATTACAGGTGCATACCACCATGCCCAGATAATTTTTGTATTTTTGGTAGAGACAGGGTTTCACATGTTGATCAGGCTGGTCTTGATCTCCTGACCTCAAGTGATCCACCCACCTCGGCCTCCAAAGTGCTGGGATTAACCGCACCTGGCACTATTTTTAACATTACTGAACTGTACACAAAAATAGTTCAGATGGTAAATTTCATGTTACGTGTATTTTCCCACAATTAAAAACAAAACCCTAGGACATAATAGTGGCACATAAAATTTTTTTTAATGGAAAAGAGGGAAAAAAAATCTTCGTTAATTCATGACTGCTGCTCCAAGGATGAGTTGCGGGCAAGTTGCTTTATTAGCCAAAACAAAATGGAGAAGGAATAATAGGATTGAGGCACTAAACTTAAAAGCAAGACAGTCAGACTCTCTTGGGGATGAACATCTGTTCTACCTTGTAATGTGTTTGGGCTTAGCTGGGTGCATCTGTGAACAGACACACATAAATACACACACACACACACACGCACGCAGAAGGTATTTTTTTGTTGGCGCTACTCGTATGACATGGAATTTTTCTCTTCCTTCTCTAATGGGCCTTTGGAATGAATGGCAGAATTGCAGCACTGATGGCCTTGAAAAGAAAATGACACCACAATTCCAGCCATTCTCCCAGCCCTTTGGGAGGCTGAGGCGGGTGGATCACCCGAGGTCAGGAGTTTGAGACCAGCCTGGCCAACATGGCGAAACCCCGTCTCTACTAAAAACACAGAAATTAGCTGGGTGTGGTGGCGCACGCCTGTAATCCCAGCTACTCGGGAGGCTGAGGCAGGAGAATCGCTTGAACCCGGGAGGTGGAGGCTGTAGTGAGCCAAGATCGCGCCTCTGCACTCCAGCCTAGGTGACAGAGCAAGACTCTGTCAAAAAAAAAAAAAAAAAAAAAAAAAAAATTCCAGACATTCCAGTATTTTCTAGGAAAGCCAGATGTTTTGATGTCGGTGAGCTTTTTTAGATGGAGCAGACTGATGTGCACGGCAACCCCATCCCTGACCCTCCACCACCCCGGGGCCCACTCCTGGGAGACAGATCAGTGCTAAGTGAGGCCCAGGGGTGCTGTGAAGTCTCTCTAAGGCAGACTTGCTAAACAAACAGAAGAACAATATCAACAGCAGCACAAGAGTTTTTCTGGCCATGTAAAACGTCACAGGCTCTACTTCTGGCTTAATCCCTTATTGTGTAGTTTTGGGAGGACCCTTTCACCCTTCTTGTTTGTGAAAAACGGGAATCATATCTGGCCCGCTTCTTATAAGCTTCTTGTGAGATCCAGTGAAAAGTAGCAAAGTCAAGATGATTTGTCTTATGGGACAACTATAAATGTTATGATAAATATCTGCTTTGATGATGCACTTGTCCCCGTTTCTGAAAATAAAGTTGCAAACAGAATTTTGCAATGTTACTGATTTCCAATATAAAAATGCTACCCACTACTCTTACCTCGATATTTACATGCTAAAGTTTACTTTATAATTTAGAAAAAATAGGCTTTGCCTTAAGGAATCATCTGAAGGTAGACCCAGGGAGAATGATAAGGAAATATAAGATGCACCTAATACAATCTTTGCTCAATTTGCTGGGCCAGGGACACATGCAATTTCCGAGACTTGCCCACAAGGCGGCGTCAAAGCAACCAGAAACGTCTCTGAACCACATATCTTTGTAAACAACTTCGTTTTGGCAGGACAAACAAAAAGAAAATTTGGAAGGACAGGAGACAGCTGTGGTGCAAATTAAGGCTTCAAAGCTTGGCGATGTTGGTAAAAAATTTCAGTTTTACCTTAGGAGGAAGAAGTAAAACGCAAACTCACACGTGCAGCAGAGTGTTCGCCTCAGGAATACTGATATGTGTTAGGAGTTTTGCAGACGTTATGTCTTTTATTGATAAGAACCCCCCTGAGCTAGGCACAGTTATCCCTCTCCTATAGGGGGTGATGATTGGGCTTAGAAAGGCCAAAGGTCTTACTTAAAGTCTCCTAGTTAGTGAGCTGAGAGCAATGTTCTGAATCTGGTCTTTCAGGATTTTACCACGTGATGTTCCTTCCATAGCATAATGTGCCTCTTGGTTTTAAACCTCAAGCTGTCATGGTCACACTATGCTCAGTTTTTTTTTTTTTTTTTTTTTTTTGGAGACAGAGTCTCGCTTATGTTGGCCAGGCTGGAGTGCAGTGGCGCGATCTCAGCTCACTGCAACCTCCGCCTCCCAAGTTCAAGCGATTCTCCTACTTTAGCCTCCTGGGGAGCTGGGATTACAGGTGTGTGCCACCACATCCAGCTAATTTTTGTATTTTTAGTAGAGACGGGGTTTCACCATGTTGGCCAGGCTGGTCTCGAACTCCTGACCTCAGGTGATCCGCCTACCTCCGCCTCCCAAAGTCCTGGGATTATAGGCATGAGCCACCATGCCCGGCCCATGCCCAATTTTTAAAGAGACTGTGGTGGAGAAACACCAGCAAGGGTGGCCCCTTTCTCTCTCAGCCCCGGGACCTTGCCTCATTGTGATCTCTTCTTGTGTTCTGCTCTTTTTCAGTCCTTGCTTTGACCCAAAGAATCAGATGCACAGCTCAAAATGCACAAGGAAACCCGGGAAAGCAGCGAGAGAGGAACAGTGGTTTCACCGAACGACGCCAGAGCAAGCCTCATCTGTTCTCCTTCAGCCTCAGAAGCTGGGAAGTCAGGTCTGGACAGGCGGGGCTCTGCCACCATGATGTGCAACTGGGTGAGTGCTGCCCCAGCAGTCAGTGACCTCCTGGGGCCAATACCAGTGTGGTTTCCAGGGAAATCCGACTTTCTCCAGGGAGCTGCTTCCATGCATTGCAATCCCATCTGGATTTACTGAGTGTCTAGTGTGCCATAGAAAGTATGATGTTTCCGGCTGGGCGCAGTGGCTCACACCTGTAATCCCAGCACTTTGGGAGGCCAAGGCGGGCGGATCATGAGGTTAAGAGATCGAGACCATCCTGGCCAACATGGTGAAACCCTGTCTCTACTAAAAATACATAAATTAGCCGGGCATGGTGGCACGCGCCTGTAGTCCCAGCTACTCGGGAGGCTGAGGCAGGAGAATTGCCTGAACCTGGGAGGCGGAGGTTGCAGCGAGCCATGATTGTGCCACTGCACTCCAGCCTGGGCAACAGAGCAAGACTCCACCTCAAAAAAAAAAAAAAAAAGTACGATATTTCCCTGTTTAACTGCCTTCCTATTCTTTGTCAAAATGAGTTTGCACCTCCAAAGAGACATCAGCCTCTCTTTGCTCCTATTATAGGAACACAGGGGGAACAGTGGGGCTTTTGAGACGCACTTTAGCTCTCAGGAGGTGCAGCCTAGTGAGACGATCCCCAGTTGAGGGAGCACAGGTGTGTTTTTCATGTGTAGCTCCTGACTCTGCTACGAAATGCATGAGCTTCTGAGATTTGAGTTCTCCTCACAGGAACGATGGGTGCCTGCCAGATGGCCTCTGTCCCAGCAGTTGTGTGTTCCTGTGTTTTAATTCTCTGCCTCACCTAGTCGGCCTTCCCCAGGCCACAGAGTCCCCTCCCTGAAGGTGCTTACAGACACGTTTGTAGGTGAGACAGCAGCGGAACACTCATAAAGACCCTGCAGGGCAGCATCGACTTAGAATCACACAAGAGAGGCTAACATTTCTCTAAGGCACTGAGGAGGGAGAACACAGCTCCAGTTTTGTTTGGTTTTTGAGGGCAAAAGGGGCAATGGGGAACTGAGTGAGGTGAAAGAAAACTTCACCAAGTGGATGGTGGGAGGGCAGCCTCCGACCAGGGGTGGGATTTTTCCAGGTGGAGTAGGGGGAAGCTGGGGAGGGTTATTTAACAAAAGACGCCCAGAGGTGGGGAATTCAGTATACACTTAGAGATGAACTTTTAGGGTGTTTGACTTTGTGTGGTCGTTTATTCAGGAAGGAGCTGAGGGCTGCTGCTCCAGCCTGTGAGTGGATAAGCCATGGTCCCTGATGGGGAGAAGCTCAATGGATTGGTCAGGTGGATGTAGAGGTGCTGTGGTTGCACAGGGAAGGGAACAGCAGGTGATTCCTAAAGCCGGTGGCAACTTTAGGGAGAAGGTGACTGTTTGAGGGGAGGGTCACAGACCAAGGATGTGCAATGGCAGAGAGGCACAGTGTGGCCTGGCCAGGGAAGGTAGCACTTAATTTTTTTTTTTTGAGTCAGAGTCTCACTCTGTCACCAAGCTGGAGTGCAGTGGCACGATCTCGGCTCACTGCAACCTCCGCCTCCCGGGTTCAGGCAATTGCCCTGCCTCAGCCTCCTGAGCAGCTGGGATTACAGGTACGTGCCACCACACCCAGCTAATTTTTTATATTTTAGTAGAGACGGGGTTTCACCGTGTTAGCCACTATGGTCTTGATCTCCTGACCTCATGATCCACCCGCCTCAGCCTACCAAAGTGCTGGGATTACAGGTGTGAGCCACTGCACCTGGCCAAAACCAAGATTTTTAAAAAGTCATTTAATCTCATTATTTTGATGAAGCATAGATATTTTTGTAGTATTAATAAATATAGTTCTGCAGACACCGCTGCTGATACCCAGGCAAACAGGGTCTGGAGTGGACCTCTAGCAAACTCCAACAGACCTGCAGCTGAGGGTCCTGTTTGTTAGAAGGAAAACTAACAAACAGAAAGGACATCCACACCAAAAACCCATCTGTACATCACCATCATCAAAGACCAAAAGTAGATAAAACCACAAAGATGGGGAAAAAACAGAGCAGAAAAACTGGAAACTCTAAAAAGCAGAGTGCCTCTCCTCCTCCAAAGGAACGCAGTTCCTCACCAGCAACGGAACAAAGCTGGATGGAGAATGACTTTGACGAGTTGAGAGAAGAAGGCTTCAGATGATCAAACTACTCCGAGCTACAGGAGGAAATTCAAACCAAAGGCAAAGAAGTTGAAAACTTTGAAAAAAATTTAGACGAATGTATAACTAGAATAAGCAATAGAGAGAAGTGCTTAAAGGAGCTGATGGAGCTGAAAGCCAAGGCTCGAGAACTACATGAAGAATGCAGAAGCCTCAGGAGCTGATGCGATCAACTGGAAGAAAGAGTATCAGTGATGGAAGATGAAATGAATGAAATGAAGTGAGAAGGGAAGTTTAGAGAAAAAAGAATAAAAAGAAACGAACAAAGCCTCCAAGAAATATGGGACTATGTGAAAAGACCAAATCTGTGTCTGATTGGTGTACCTGAAAGTGACAGGGAGAATGGAACCAAGTTGGAAAACACTCTGCAGGATATTATCCAGGAGAACTTCCCCAATCTAGCAAGGCAGGCCAACATTCAGATTCAGGAAATACAGAGAACGCCACAAAGATACTCCTCGAGAAGAGCGACTCCAAGACACATAATTGTCAGATTCACCAAAGTTGAAATGAAGGAAAAAATGTTAAGGGCAGCCAGAGAGAAAGGTCGGGTTACCCACAAAGGGAAGCCCGTCAGACTAACAGCTGATCTCTCGGCAGAAACTCTACAAGCCAGAAGACAGTGGGGACCAATATTCAACATTCTTAAAGAAAAGAATTTTCAACCCACAATTTCATATCCAGCCAAACTAAGCTTCATAAGTGAAGGAGAAATAAAATACTTTACAGACAAGAAAATGCTGAGGGATTTTGTCACCACCAGGCCTGCCCTAAAAGAGCTCCTGAAGGAAGCACTAAACATGGAAAGGCACAACTGGTACCAGCTGCTGCAAAATCATGCCAAAATGTAAAGACCATCAAGACTAGGAAGAAACTGCATCAACTAACGAGCAAAATAACCAGCTAACATCATAATGACAGGATCAAATTCACACATAACAATATTAACTTTAAATGTAAATGGACTAAATGCTCCAATTAAAAGACACAGACTGGCAAATTGGATAAAGAGTCAAGACCCATCAGTGTGCTGTATTCAGGAAACCCATCTCATGTGCAGAGACACACATAGGCTCAAAATAAAAGGATGGAGGAAGATCTACCAAGCAAATGGAAAACAAAAAAAGGCAGGGGTTGCAATCCTAGTCTCTGATAAAACAGACTTTAAACCAACAAAGATCAAAAGAGACAAGGCCATTACATAATGGTAAAGGGATCAATTCAACAAGAAGAGCTAACTATCCTAAATATATATGCATCCAATACAGGAGCACCCAGATTCATAAAGCAAGTCCTGAGTGACCTATAAAGAGACTTAGACTCCCACACAATAATAATGGGAGACTTTTAACACCCCACTGTCAACATTAGACAGATCAATGAGACAGAAAGTTAACAAGGATACCCAGGAATTGAACTCAGCTCTGCACCAAGCAGACCTAATAGACATCTACAGAATTCTCCACCCCAAAGCAACAGAATATACATTTTTTTCAGCACCACACCTATTCCAAAATTGACCACATAGTTGGAAGTAAAGCTCTCCTCAGCAAATGTAAAAGAACAGAAATTATAACAAACTGTCTCTCAGACCACAGTGCAATCAAACTAGAACTCAGGATTAAGAAACTCACTCAAAACTGCTCAACTGTGTGGAAACTGAACAATCTGCTCCTGAATGACTACTGGGTACATAACGAAATGAAGGCAGAAATAAAGATGTTCTTTGAAATCAATGAGAACAAAGACACAACATACCAGAATCTCTGGGACACATTCAAAGCAGTGTGTAGAGGGAAATTTATAGCACTAAATGCCCACAAGAGAAAGCAGGAAAAATCCAAAACTGACACCCTAACATCACAATTAAAAGAACTAGAAAAGCAAGAGCAAACACATTCAAAAGCTAGCAGAAGGCAAGAAATAACTAAAATCAGAGCAGAACTGAAGGAAATAGAGACACAAAAAACCCTTCAAAAAATTAATGAATCCAGGAGCTGGTTTTTTGAAAGGATCAACAAAATTGATAGACCGCTAGCAAGACTAATAAAGAAAAAAAGAGAGAAGAATCATATAAACACAATAAAAAATGATAAAGGGGATATCACCACTGATCCCACAGAAATACAAACTACCATCAGAGAATACTACAAACACCTCTACACAAATAAACTAGAAAATCTAGAAGAAACGGATAAATTCCTCGACATATACACTCTCCCAAGACTAAACCAGGAAGAAGTTGAATCTCTGAATAGACCAATAACAGGATCTGAAATTGTGGCAATAATCAATAGCTTACCAACCAAAAAGAGTCTAGGACCAGATGGATCCACAGCCGAATTCTACCAGAGGTACAAGGAGGAACTGGTACCATTCCTTCTGAAACTATTCCACTAAATAGAAAAAAAGGGAATCCTCCTTAACTCATTTGATGAGGCCAGCATCATCCTGATACCAAAGCCAGGCAGAGACACAACCAAAAAAGAGAATTTTAGACCAATATCCTTGATGAACATTGATGCAAAAATCCTCAATAAAATACTGGCAAACCGAATCCAGCAGCACATTAAAAAGCTTATCCACCATGATCAAATGGGCTTCATCCCTGGGATGCAAGGCTGGTTCAATATATGCAAATCAATAAATGTAATCCAGCATATAAACAGAGCCAAAGACAAAAACCACATGATTACTCAATAGATGCAGAAAAGGCCTTTGACAAAATTCAACAACCCTTCATGCTAAAAACTCTCAATAAATTAAGTATTGATGGGATGTATCTCAAAATCATAAGAGCTATCTATGACAAACCCACAGCCAATATCATACGGAATGGGCAAAAACTGGAAGCATTCCCTTTGAAAACTGGCACAAGACAGGGATGCCCTCTCTCACCACTCCTATTCAACATAGTGTTGGAAGTTCTGGCCAGGGCAATTAGGCAGGAGAAGGAAATAAAGGGTATTCAATTAGGAAAAGAGGAAGTCAAATTGTCCTGTTTGCAGATGACATGATTGTATATCTAGAAAACCCCATTGTCTCAGCCCAAAATCTCCTTAAGCTGATAAGCAACTTCAGCAAAGTCTCAGCATACAAAATCAATGTACAAAAATCACAAGCATTCTTAGACACCAATAACAGACAGAGAGCCAAATCTTGAGTGAACTCCCATTCACGATTGCTTCAAAGAGAATAAAATACCTAGGAATCCAACTTACAAGGGACATGAAGGACCTCTTCAAGGAGAACTACAAACCACTGCTCAATGATATAAAAGAGGATACAAACCAATGGAAGAACATTCCATGCTCATGGGTAGGAAGAATCAATATCGTGAAAATGGCCATACTGCCCAAGGTAATTTATAGATTCAATGCCATCCCCATCAAGCTACCAATGACTTTCTTCACAGAATTGGAAAAAACTACTTCAAAGTTCATATGGAACCAAAAAAGAACCCGCATCACCAAGTCAATCCTAAGCCAAAAGAACAAAGCTGGAAGCATCACGCTACCTGACTTCAAACTATACTACAAGGCTACAGTAACCAAAACAGCATGGTACTGGTACCAAAACAGAGATATAGATCAATGGAACAGAACAGAGCCCTCAGAAATAATGCCACTTATCTACAACTATCTGATCTTTGACAAACCTGAGAAAAACAAGCAATGGGGAAAGGATTCCCTATTTAATAAATGGTGCTGGGAAAACTGGCTAGCCATATGGAGAAAGCTGAAACTGGATCCCTTCCTTACACCTTATACAAAAATTAATTCAAGATGGATTAAAGACTTAAATGTTAGACCTAAAACCATAAAAACCCTAGAAGAAAACCTAGGCATTACCATTCAGGACATAGGCATGGGCAAGGACTTCATGTCTAAAATACCAAAAGCAATGGCAACAAAAGCCAAAATTGACAAATGGGATCTAATTCAACTAAAGAGCTTCTGCACAGCAAAAGAAACTACCATCAGAGTGAACAGGCAACCTACAAAATGGGAGAAAATTTTCGCAACCTACTCATCTGACAAAGGGCTAATATCCAGAATCTACAATGAACTCAAACAAATTTACAAGAAAAAAACAACCCCATCAAAAAGTGGGCGAAGGATATGAACAGACACTTCTCAAAAGAAGACATTTATGCAGCCAAAAGACACATGAAAAAATGCTCATCATCACTGGCCATCAGAGAAATGCAATTCAAAACCACAATGAGATACCATCTCACACCAGTTAGAATGGCAATCATTAAAAAGTCAGGAAACAACAGATGCTGGAGAGGATGTGGAGAAATAGGAACACTTTTACACTGTTGGTGGGACTGCCAACTAGTTCAACCATTGTGGAAGTCAGTGTGGCGATTCCTCAGGGATCTAGAACTAGAAATACCATTTGACCCAGCCATCCCATTACTGGGTATATACCCAAAGGACTAGAAATCATGCTGCTATAAAGACACATGCACACATCTGTTTGTTGTGGCACTATTCACAATAGCAAAGACTTGGAACCAACCCAAATGTCCAAAAATGATAGACTGGATTAAGAAAATGTGGCACATATACACCATGGAATACTATGCAGCCATAAAAAAATGATGAGTTCATGTCCTTTGTAGGGACATGGATGAAACTGGAAATCATCATTCTCAGTAAACTATCGCAAGGACAAAAAACCAAACACCGCATGTTCTCACTCATAGATGGGAATTGAACAATGAGAACACATGGACACAGGAAGGGGAACATCACACTCTGGGGACTGTTGTGGGGTGGGGGGAGCGGGGAGGGATAGCATTAGGAGATATACCTAATGCTAAATGACGAGTTAATGGGTGCAGCACACCAGCATGGCACATGTATAGATATGTAACTAACCTGCACATTATGCACATGTACCCTAAAACTTAAAGTATAATAATAATAAATAAATTAATGCAATTTAGTTATTTTAAACTATATATTATTGTTAGTATAACCTGATCATATTCCTTTTTAGGCATTGATAACACACAGTCTATCTTAGCTGGTGACAATGTATATGATTCATATATAAATAGACAGATCTTGGGGATGCTTTTCTAACAGATCAAAAGGCATGAAGATATGTAAAGAGCATGCCCTGGTGATGGATGATAAGGGAGGAAAGCAGATGGAAGGGTGTCACCAAGAGCCAGGCAAGAGATGCTCATGTTCTGCACTAGGGTAACAGCAGTAAGGGCGAGAGGACCTGGAGATCTGGGCGGAGCTGGATCAAGGGGATTTGTTTGAGCTTGGAGAAGGAATCAAGGGAGAGTCTGAATTCAGTCACAAGTTTAGGGCAGTGAATGGACATGAGAGGGTCCAATTATAGAAGGTGTTGGTGTTTGGGTGGATTTGAAGGGTAAGAAAGAAAGGGGAAATTTGTATAATTCCTAGTTTTCTCTCTAGAAGACTGGATGGATGACATGTAATTCACCAAGAAAGAAAAGGAAAGAGTGAAGTAGGGAGCAAGTTCAACAGAGAGAGTTTTGGACCTGCTGTCTTTGAAGGACTCATGCATTTACTTGGAGGTCTCAAGCAGGAAAGTGGACGTAGTGTCTGCAGCAGGAAGAAGTGCAGGTGGGCCATATTGACTCTACAGCGAAGACCACAGTCATCAATGAAGTTGCTCGTGGAGGATGTAGAGTAAGAAGAGAAGAGGACCAAGCACTGAATCACGTGGAGACAAGCACACGTAAAAGAAAAGAAGGGAGTGAAGCTGCAGAGAGAAGCAAGCTGTGGAAGCCGGATTCTGCAAGAAGCAGATGGAAATCGGGAAGGAAGGTTTGCCGTGGAAAAGACCCGGCACCCAAAATCTGTAGACAGGAATACATCAGAGTAAGGCAGCCACACCAAGGTGTTGCAAGGTGAAGAGGAAAGAAATTGAGATGGCTCAGGTGAGGCTGAGGGAGTGACAAAGGAGACTGCTGCTGGGGATGGCAGTGAGGGTGGTCTGAGCAGAGTGCATTTGGGCATATTTCAGAATTGTTACAAAGGGGAATTCAGTAATTGAGTTGAGTCCGTCCTCTTAAGTCCCCATCACTCGTGCTTTGATGAGCTTTGGTTTCACTTCAAATGAAAATGGTTTATAGCATCAAAACCTGTATCTGTGCCAAACTGAATGAAACATAGATTTCTACGATCAGAAAGTTATTTAATCAATAAGCCTCGCTCTGTGAGTTCAACAATGCCATGTAAGCTAAAAGACATCATTCCTCATGGAATAGAAGCCAAGGCTAAATTCAAATTACATATCACCCAACCACAGGGCAAAGCTACATAGTTCTAGGACTCAGATGGCCACAACTCCTTTGGCAATGACAGGAACTTGCTGCTGAATAATTTTACCCAGGAAATCAGAGGTCTGCCAGAGTCTTTATCAAACAACCATCTCCAATCACACGTTTATTAGTTAGTTCATCCATTTACTCTTCTAGAAGGTATCTATTAGCACCTTAATATGCCAACACCTGCACTAGGTCCTTAGATGTAAAAGTGAACAAGATCACACAAATCTACCCATGAGAGAAGATGGCATAGCACCATGTACACTTTGGATGGACATCAGTTTCCTGGCTTTGACATTGTACTGCAGCTACATGAGATGTGACCACTGGGGGAAACTGGATGAAGGGCACAGTTGGGAGATATTTCTGGACTATGTTTTGCAAATTCCTGTGAATCTACAATTATTTCGAAATGAAAATTTTTAAAAAGTGAATATGAATCTGTCCATGACTGCAGAGCAAATATCCAGTCATGCAGGGAGATTTGAAGATGAAAAAGCAACCAGAACAAGTGCTGTGCCATGGGAAAGACCAAGTGGGAGGGGTGTCACTAATCTCCCTGGGTGGGCAGCTGGGGAGGATTCTGTGAAAAGGGGGGAGGTGGGTTTAGTTGAATTGATGGATGCCTTCTGTGCAAATGTCACTTCTTTGTGTGTCCAGAATGTGACAGCAGTGTCTTCTTCTTATTTTTTAATGGGGGCAGGGGTGAGTTTTAACTTTCACACTCTTTCTCATCTAATGCTCACAATAACACAATGACATCAGCATTATACCCATTTTACAGAAGAGGAAATGGAAGTCAGTGAGACTTTGGCAATCACTCTGTGCTTACATCAGTGGTGGCTTAGAAACTCAGTCCAGGTCTTCTGACCCCACAGTTTCACCACTTGACTTGGGTGGACGCTTGCTCCACCTGGCTCTTCACTAGCTGTTCCTTCTGGTAGGTCTGAGCAGAGTGAATATGTTTTAAGGCTGGGGGAAAGGAAATGCCAAACTCTGCAAGCCTTGGAGAGATGTGATTTGTAAAAGTAGCGCTCCCCACAAAATAATAATAGAAACCCACATGCATGGTGGCGTTTATGAGATACTTAAGAAAACAGGTACAAATCTTGAATGAAGATATTTAAAACCTTCTGATTTTCAGGGGCTAAAGAAGCAATGGCATGTGGCCAGGGCATGGTGAGGTGGGAGCAGCCTGTCACTGCATTCCTACCTCTGGGGCGATGTAGTCAGGTGTCCCACAGAAGGTATTCGTCTTGGCATCTCCTAACATGTTCTCCTTGCACATTCCAAAATCCGCGATCTTGATATGTCCATCTTTGTCTAACAGGATGTTATCTAGCTTCAGGTCCCTGAAAAACAAAAGTGAAGCAAATCTCACATTAATCAATATAATTTGGTTAACATAAAATTCCATAGGAGGCGAGGGAGTTTGTCTCATTGCAGCCTGAGAGGGGCTCACGAGAGGCGCTTATGTATCTATCCACTTGCACACCAAGTGGGGTGTAGACAAAGCAGATTCTGCAAGGGCACGCTGGCTGCTATGGATTCTTTCTCTGATTTACCAAGGGGTGCAGCTCAGTATAAGGAGGACAGAGCACCCATACCCATTGGAGACCCTTGATCCCAGGACTTTCCTGAGGGTAATGACGAAGGAGGAAAACCTAAAAAATATACTTACTGTATGCCATTTTCTACATATTTGTGAATGAATTATACTGCACCTAATTCCAAGTCCAGTTGATGAAGTTTGTTCCTAACTAATACTGAACCCCTTGAGAACCGGAATCCATCCAACGCCAGAATGTCATGCCAACAAACTTCTGTTTCCTTGGAGAACTAGTATCCTCTTAAAAGAACCCATTCCATTCTTAGGGAAATGTAACTGATAATATTTTTTAAAAAACAATTAACCGAACTTTGCTTCCATGTGATGTCACCTATTGGTCCAAGGGGGCTTTCTATTGTTACCATATGTGACACCCCAAATATTTGAAAAAAATGACATCAAGTTTTCTCTTCTCTCACCAAGATCAGGGACTTCGCTCCTCATGATGTGGTTTTCAGACCCTTTTGACCTTGTACCACAGCTGCATGAGATGTGGCCACTGGGGGAAACTGGATGAAGGGCAAACATTCTGGCCTCTACCTTCCAAATATCTTGAATTTGTCCGTTTTCTTCTCGACTGACTTGGCTCAGAATGAAGCCAGAATCCTCCAGAGAGACAATCTGATTGGTGCAGGTTACAGCGGCACCCAGAGCTCCATTACCATCCTCTTGCCTTTTGCCACGGTGGACTAAGATCCTGCACCATATTTTTCATAGTTTCATCACAGTAATGCCCAATATTGAGTTTATTGTAAACTAAAACCTTCAGGTGTTTTTCTGCTTTCCTTTATGAAGTGCCATTATCCCAGTTTCTTCTCATTCTGTACTTGTGAAATTGATTTTTTAAAGATAATTCAGGTGCTTCCCTTGATATCAGGTTTTTTTTTTTCCCCTGAGACGAGGTCTTTCCCTGTCATCCAGGCTGGAGTGCAGTGGCATGATGTCAGTTCACTGCAGCCTCAACCTCTTGAGCAAGCAGTCCTCCCACCTCAGACTCTTGACCACATGTGTGCCATCGCCATGCCTGGCTAATTTTTAAAATTTTTTGTAGAGACAAGGTCTCACTATGTTGCCAAGGCTGGTCATGAACTCCTGACATTAAGCAATCCTTCTGCCTCAGACTCAAAATGCTGGGATTATAGGCGTGAGCCACTGCGCCTGGCCAGCTCTGAGGGATCTAGGTCAATATGGGAAAGGTTCTGAAAGGCTGCCATGTGAAGCCAGCCCCCCATGGGGGTGAGGAAGGAGTGCCAAGGAAGACCAGTGAGGACCCCTGGAGCCAGCTGGAGAGGGCAGAGAACCCAGAGGCCCAGGGTATTCTGAGGCATGTCATGCTTACACCCTATGGGGCATCAGGACCCAGGGGAGAACTTCAGAGTCCACAGCCTGTGCATGTCTCTGCAAGCTTTCATCTGTCAGAGGAGAAGCAGGCCATCATGGCATCAAGCAGAAGAGAACATCCAGGGGCACCCTTTCATTCCATCATGAGGTTAACGGAGGCAAAGCTTTTCTATTTGGAAGAGGTGGAGTGGGCATCACAGTTGGCTTCCCAATCCCAGCATTACGGCCGGCTGGCTCCGCCTCACCATTTCCCCTCTGGCAGCCTCCAAGACTCATCCAAGGAACAGGGACCATGACACTTGCCTTGCTTGTCTCATGGGGTCCTGTAACGTCCAATGAGAATCACGTGAAAGCATTGAAAGTGGCTTCAAACACATGGGTTGGGCCCAGTTTTATTGTCAATAAAATATAATCTTAAGGTTCTTCTTAGTTCTAATACTCTAAGATTGGAAGTTCTAGATTCTTCTTTCCACATCTGCATACTTTCCGGCTCTGTGGTTTTACATTTGACCCAAACCAGGGCTTACATCATCTTTGAAGATGCCGTCGATTTTGTGGTTCCTCTGGCAGATGGTGAGTGACGCCACCACACCTGCTTCTCCACATCTCATGCTTTTCATCGACCAACAGCAGCCTTGCCCCTGAAGCTGGATGCACCTGTTGAATATTCCTCCATTTTCCTATTGCTGTGCCTTTCCTGGAGTCACTTCTTCCATCTGCAAAGCCTCTTCCACTCTAAAAAGTCTACCTTCACAGAAGAATTTTTGTTTGCCATCTCCCCTACTTAAGTCTGGTGATATATTTTTTCCTTTCAGCTCTTGCACTTTTAATTGGAATAACATTCACTTGGACATTTTTTGAATGTACAGCTTGTGTCTTTTCATCTGTTCATCCATTCATCATCAATCCATTCTACCTCTGAAGAAACCCCAGAAAGTGGCTCATCAGGTTTCTGGGGGTTGGGACTTCTCTATGTTTAGTACCCACTGCCATGCTTGACAAAGACCTGCACATCCAGAGCACACATGGTCTGTGATATCAGCTGTATGGGTGGAATGGTGGCCCCCAGAAGATATGTCCAGGTATGTTCATGTCAGAACCCCCAGAACCTTGTAGATGTGACCTTATTTGGAAAAAGGGTCTTTTTTTCCAAATGTAATTAAGTTAAAGATGTAATTAAGTTAAAGATATCAAGGTGAGATTATCCTTGATTATCGAGGTGGGCCCTAAATCCATCAAGTGTTCTTAGAAAAGACAGATGGGGGCAAGAGAAGGCCATGGGAAGACAGAGGCAGAGACTGGGTGATGCAGCCACAAGCCAAGGAATGCCTGCAGCCACCAGAGGCTGGTAAATCGAGGGCTTGGTGGGGGCATGGCCCTGCCCACATCTTGCTTCCAAATGTCTAGCTTCCAGAATAAGCCACCAAATTTGGGGTAATTTCTTATGGCAGCCCTTCAAAACTAATGTATCAGTTTTGTGAACAAATTCAGAAAATTATTATCCTATGAGGTCAAAAGAAAGAAATGAATTGAATCCTTTTGTTAATTCAGTTGCCAAATTAAAAGTTTAGGTGAGTCAAATTACACACAGACAGTTGAATAATTTCTTACTATTCAACTTATTATAAGGCAACTTATTTCTTATTATGCAGCAGGCCAGTTTTAAAGCCAGCATACTTGTCTGGTGACCTATCCTCAGTTATAACTATTTGATGATGACTTTCAAGGGTCTCCTGCAACCTAATGAGCACAAAAAATAAACTCATTTTTTTTTCTTGTTGGTGCCTAAGAAGGCTTAAAGAACATAACTTCCATGCATGGGCAGGGTAAGACTCGAAAATGGGTACAATTTGTTGTGATAGTAAAGCTACTTATGGACATCTATTGCTTTTTTTTTTTTGTTCTGAGTGTTAATAATTTACATGGTGACATGATAGAAAGAAGCTTTGTGACACAGGGAAATAAAATGCCCCGAGGCATGTGGGTTTAGGTTTCACGGGGTCCCTTCCAGTCTAAGATCTCTGTCTCTCTCTCTCTCCAGTCCCTCCTAATTTTTATTCCTACTTCCCCTTTTTTTTTTTTAACTTTTTAAATTTTTTGAGATGGACTGTTGCTCTGTTGCCCAGGCTGGAGTGCAATGGTGTGATCTCAGCTCACTGCAACCTCCGCCTAACAGGTTCAAGTGATTCTTGTGCCTCAGCTTCTAAAGTAGCTGGGATTACAGGCAAGGGCCACTACACCCAGCTAATTTTTGTATTTTTAGTAGAGACAGGATTTGTCATGTCGGCCAGGCTGGTTTCCAACTCCTAACCCCAGGTGATCCATCTGCCTTGGCCTCCCAAAGTGCTGGGATTTGCAGGTGTGAGCCACTGTGCCCAGCCCCTTTCATTTATTTATCTCCCCACCCATCCATCACCATCCATCCATCCATCCCATCCATCCATCCAACCATCTGTTCAATTTACCCATCACCCATCCATCCATACCCATCCATCCATCCGTCCAACCATCTGTTCATCCATCCGTTGTCCATCCATCCATCATCCATACATCATCCATCCACCCATCTGTTCATCCATTCCTCATCCATCCATCATTTATCCATCCATCCATCCAGGTACATCCATTCATCCATCCATCCAACCATCTGTTCATCTACTCATCATTCATCCATCATTTATCCATCATTTATCCATCCATCCATCCATCCATCCATCCACATCCATCCATTCATCCATCCATTCAACCATCTGTTCATCCATTCATCATTCATCCATCATTTGTCCATCCATTCAACCATCCACACCCATCCATCCATCCAAATATCTGTTCATCCATTCATCCAACCATCTGTTCACTCATCCATCATCCATCCATCCATCTATCCATCCACCCCACACAATTTAGTCAGTGCCTAGGTACAAAAATATTTTAGATACATTGCAGGCCTTACACATATAAAGAAAAATTTAAAAAAATTCTGCTAAGAGTTTTAAAATAATATTCTGGTGAGTATTTCTCAATTTCCTGAAGATTAAAAAATTATAAAACAGATTCTTAATCTATGATTTTGTAGATAGACCAAAAAAAATTACATTCAAAGAGGCTGCTTAAGAATACTTACTTCTCAAACCTCCTCTAAGCCTTTAGTTGTGTGACTCCAAATAGGGCAACCCTCACTTGACTGCACCCTCAGAAAATGGAGAGATCCTTCCTTGTTAAGTGAATTCTACACTCTGTAAGCACCAAAGCTTCAATACTAATTATCTGCTCTCCAGCAGCTCAGCCATCCTCCTCACTAGATCCTTTCTTTTTTTTCCTTTCTATTTTTCCTCCTAATCTGCAGTGAGTTGGAAATCTGACAGTAAGCTTGTAAAGGTTTGTATGTTAAATAAGTGCCAACTACATTTTGAGAAAAGAAGTGAGGAGATTGAGATACAATAGTGTCAATCTAAGAGCTTGGACAGAAGAACGTGAAATGATGTCATACAGCAGAGAAGAAGAAAATTCCATAAGCATTTCTAGGTGGCTCAAAGCAAAGACAAGCAAAAATAAGAGGTATGAAGGGGACAAAAGAGAAAGAAACCGTAAGGTATGATAAGAAAGAGAAAACAGGACAGTGAAAATGGGAAAAGGAAGGTGAAAGAAGGAATTCAAGTGAGAACCAGCATAAAGGACAGAATGAGCTCAGCACTTTCCTGCTGTTGAGACTGGAATGTCTTCCTTGGTTGTAAGTCATCATCCATGTAATCATTGTGGGCAGCAGACCTATGTGTGGAGCTTACTCCCAGGAAATCACATGGGCTGTCTCACAGCACTCGGTGCAATGATTAAATTAACTGAGCCAGGAAAGCCGATATCTTAGCATTTGTTTCCACAAAGCAAAATTTACCTGTAGACTATTCCTTTGGAATGAAGGAACTGCAGACCAAGAATGATTTCAGCAGCATAAAACCTGGGGGAAGGAGAACCAAGGTTCAACATGAATGTTGTCATGGAACGAAATAAAATCCCAAACCCAGACTGACCTTTTTCTGACATGCTGTGTATGGCTAAATGGCATACACACATAACTCTGTTTAATCCTAACAAGGAAGATGTTGTCCATTCATTCTACACATAAGAAAGTAGAGGCTCAGACACCTCCAGCCTCAGTCCTAACAGCATAAAACAGAGCTGGCATCTTAAGTGAGTCCTGCCTGTATCTAGTACTTGTTCTTATATTTTAAACAATAATGCTCACATTGTCATTTTTTTTGTTGTTTTTGCTATTGCTAATAAAACATACACAGACATTAAAAGTAATAGTATAGGCCAGGTACGGTGGCTCACGCCTGTAATCCTAGCACTTTGGGAGGCCCAAGCAGGTGGATCACTTGAAGTCAGGAGTTCAAGACCAGCATGGGCAACATGGTGAAACACCATCTCTAGTAAAAATACAAAAATTAGCAGGGCATGGTGTTGGGCGCCTGTAGCCCCATCTACTCAGGAAGCTGAGGCTTGATAATCACTTGAACCTGGGAGGCAGAGGTTGCAGTGAGCTGAGATCACACCACTGCACTCCAGCATGGACGACAGAGCAAGACTCTGACTCAAAAAAAAAAAAAAAAGTAATAGTATAGATAATAGGCAAATAATTTCTCCCTTTGTTTTAAACTCTGGTTGGCACCCATAGACCTGTATGCACCATTCTGAATAGAACTAGCTGGTTTATTTTCGTACTGAGAACCTTTAGCCTGGGCAACACTTACAGCCCATGAGGTGGAAAAGAGGATATTAGCAGATGCAAGATAAGTTACACTTCATCTTCAATGGTGACAAGGTTAAAGGAAATGAGTTTACCCCATCACTGGTGGGATTAAGGTCGGATATAAGAGATAGCTTCCTGGAAGGGAAGCTTGCTGGATCTTGTGGAAGAATGCAAAATTCTCCTTCCTGGAAGGCATTTAGGACAGGATGGATAGCGTGGGTCCGGGCTGGCTGGAGACGACAGTGGACTAAGTGAATTCTTTCCGGCATGAAAAATGCCCGATGATTTCTCTGCTGCAGAAATCCAGTAAAATTACCTCTGGGTGCATTGCTGAGGTTTCCCAGAGCAATGATCTCAGCAGAGTGCTACCCACTAGATGTGATAAACAGCCATTCCAGCCAGGGATTTTAAGAAGCTGGCGGACCAAATCCATTTCTCAACCCACTTCAACCTAAACCACTCAAAGTGTTCATGCAGATGGGAGGGAGGGATTATTGAGCGCTGAGCAAAGGAAGCTAGCATGTACTCATCATTTTCCAAGGAGCCCAGTGGCAGAGCTTTCTTTTACTTGCATGTCATGGGGAGCAGGAAGTGGGACCCAAAGGGAACAGCATGGGCAGGAGTGGTGGTGAGAACTGTGGATGCAGGTGCAGTCCCACCAGGTACACACAGCCTGCCCCGTCTCCAGGTGTCTCAGGCTGCCGGCACTAGGAAGGAGAAGCTTTGTTCTCAGATGGACTAAGTGCCTCTTCCTGCTCCCTAAAGCTTTATGCCTCCACATCAGGCTTTCCATAAGATGCCTCAGCTACAAGCTCCATCCCTGGGGACCACCCTTGAGGTCTGCAGTCCATTTCACTGCTTCCTTTCCAAAGGTTACATATTTGCTTCTGTGCTCAGGTTAGTTAGAAGCCTGATGAATCGGGATGGTTCCTTAAGAAACTAAGTAGTTAGTTTTAAATCACAGAGAAATGAAACCAAACTGACACGAATTTCAGTTTCACAACCTGGGAAAACTGTCGCCTTGCTCGATGTATTCCCAAGGGTTCACCTGGCCCTGGGATTCAGGCATGCCAAGTGGGAAAAAAGGAAAAAAAAACCAGCAAGAACTGACAAGAACAGTGGAAAACTCCCAAACCCTTTAAAGCCTCTTACGTCGCTCTGGAAAGGTCGAACTTGTGGCAGCTTTGGATGTGGTACATTAAGTCCCCTCCGTTGAGGTACTCCATCACAAAAAAGAGGTTTTCCTGTGGAAAAACAAAACAATTCCAACTTTTATTTCATTTCATTTTTATTTATTTATTTTGTCCAAGACAGGGTCTCACTCTGTCTCCCAGGCTGGAGTGCAGTGGCGTGATCTCGGGTCACTGCAACCTCCGCCTCCTGGCTTCAAGAGATTCTCCCGTCAGCCTCCCTAGTAGCTGGGACTACAGGCATGCACCACCAGGCCCAGCTAATTTTTGTATTTTTAGCAGAGATGGGGTTTCGCCATGTTAGCCAGGCTGGTCTCCAACTCTTGACCTCAGGTGATCCGCCCACCTTGGCCTCCCAAAGTGCTGGGATTACAGGCGTGAGCCGCCATACCCAGTCACAGTTCCAATTTTTAGCTCTTTAGAGAAAATACAACAAGGAGGACTACTTTTTAAATGGATTAGATCATTTCAGGGGAACTAATTCTGTTGTGAAATCACTTATCAGAAGACTGTCAAAATCATTTAAACAATCTATGTTTTTGAGCCCCAGGAAGCCTGGGGAATCTAGGTGGGATGCCCTGTGGCATCTAGATGCTTGCGTGTTACAACCCAGCAGATGAGCGGGGGGCACAAGGGAGAGTCCAGTTGACCTGCTGGCCAGACAATGGGATGGTGCCAGGCACTTAGGGCACTTAGCATGTGCCGATTGTATACTTATTGAAAGTGACAGGGTGCAGGGTGATAAGGAGAATGTGTTTTGGTCTCTGACTCCAAGGGCGGAGCTTGAAAACATTCATTCACTCAACACTCAGTAATTAGCTACTGAGCATATTCTGTGGGCGTGGCGTGGGGGGAGTGGGCGGGTCATGTCAGTCATTCCTCCCTGAAGCTTGCAATCAAGTTTAACCTTATTTTTCTCCAGTCCTGACTTAACTCATGGCAGAGGCAAGCCACAGTTTATGACGGAGTTCTTCTGGCAGAGGACATGATGTATGTCAGTAGAGCTGGGGCCCTCGAGTGGCCACAGTCAGAAGTAGGGCTGGGTGGTCTTCAGGCTGTGGTGGGCATATCAGCCAGGATTGTAACCAGCCTCAGCAACTCAATGATGTGAGACAATTTTTTTTTCCAATAAATGTATTTATAACACTTTAGAGAAACCTGATTTTTTAAAGGGTTGTAATGCATCACAGAATCAGTAATCCATAAAGTGTGAGGACCTTCGGTGCGTCTGGGCATGAATTTGCATCTGAAAGTCTCACCTGGGTGGTTTCTTAACAGAATTAACCTTTACGTTTTGATGTGAACCCAACCGAGGCCGTGGGGCATAGGAGGTAATAGTAGAAACATTGTTCTGGTCTGACAGTGAGACTCCTTGCCTGGTCACCACAGAATGGGGAAACCAAGTATTGTGGCAATTATCTCAATAATCCAGGTCAAGGTAAGCATCCGTCTTTTTTCAATGTTAGTTTCCGATCTGATTTACTAATTCCATATATCTTTAAGTGAAGCCCACCCTTTTCTCTTCTGGACAGGCCCAAATTCTCAGCTGACATAAATCATGACTTAACACAGATTTCAAACCCAATTTGAGAGTCGTCATTGGCTTTGCCTGCACACACCTGCTTTCTCATGCTACCTCTTGCTCTCATCAGCACCACAGAAAGAGCTTCTGTTCTAACCTCAGCTTTTTACTCAAACTATAATGGCCCTATACAAGCCACAAAGGTGGAATCTTCTTTTAAGTAGTCACGAGAGCAAAGCGTATGAAAGTGTAGAGCGAAACCATTTCCAACAGTGCTTGAGTGAACGGTTTCTTCTAAGTGTTTGGATGCTTACAAATTCCTAGAAAGGCTGACATTTCAGAATTTAACACTGTCAATTTAGATGTGGAGAAAGTGGTGGGAGGGGACTGGAGGCAACAGTTCAGCCCCACTCCCATGCATTCCACACACCTTCCCACCTATTCTCAGGTCTGAATCAGACGCCACACTAGTGGTGAGCATTGGGGGGGTTGAATTGGCCATTAAAGTCTAAGAGATCACAGGGCACAGTCAGTGTTTACTAACATGAGGGTGAGAAGAAGACTACGTTACTAGTGATTATTAATTAACAGCAATGGAGATTTATAGTATGTTGGATGCCCCACATTTAACCCTCCCAAGAGAACTGCAGGCTCCACAATAAATCTGTCAAATATCTGTTCTGCTCTGTGATAAAATTAGCACAAATGTATGCACATACAAACTACACAGTCCAGAGGTTTGGATTTTGAGGAGCACATTTTGAGGGATGGATAAGCCTTTTAAAAGCTGAATCCAAAATCCCATCATAAAAGGTAAATACAAATATAATAGGCTCAAACTTTCATAAACAGCTGGGGAAGGAGAGCTCAGAGTTGAAGGCAACCCACAGCTGACTAGAACCTCTGCAGAACCGCAAGCAAAAAGAAGTGTCTGCCTGCTGGAAAGACTCTGGGCTGGCATAGATAGAAACAAACCAAGAAGAATGAGACTCAGAGTAATTGCAAAGAATGTGGGCTTCATCCTTACTCAGCCCTGGGTTCAAAGCCCCTCTATTTATAACTCTGGAGACGTGACTTAACCTCTCCTGAGCTTCATTTAGTTTGTGAAATGGGGTAGTAATACTCCTACCTCCTAGGGTTGCTGTGGGTATTAAACAAAATAGTGTGTGTGGAAATGAATCTCTGCATTGGTCCTCAGTGGGCAATTGATAACTGATGGCAGCTGTCCTTCTAGGAAGCAATTTAAAAGCCAGGAAAGACAAAACCAAAACCAATCCAAAAACCAGCAAATACTTCCCAGAAGAAGCAAATGAACAGTTCTCTGGCCGATGGCTCTCGAAAGAAAGAAGAAAACAGAATTAGATTCCCTCCTGGGCTGCCGTTTAGGTTCTGGCCACCTGCTGAGAGAGGATACCAAGCAGGCTGAGAGAGAGAGAGAGAGAGAGAGACAGAGAGAGACAGACAGAGAGAGAGAGAGAGAGAGACAGAGAGAGAGAGAGAGACAGAGAGAGACAGACAGAGAGAGAGAGAGAGAGAGAGAGAGAGAGAGAGAGAGAGAGATGGTGGGGAGGGAGGGAGGGAGAGAATGTGGCCTGTGTTGGGTTAATTGTAAATGTCACTTACTAGTCTAGACCTCACGTCTTTATGGCGGGTAATACATTAACCGAGGCAAATGATTCTTTCCGGTGGGTGAGAATTGAAGCTGTGATGGCATTGGGGGATGGGACATGCCAAACGCGTCCCAGTCTTGCCGACTGTCAACAACTCCTGGCAAAGCATCTGTCGAATGGAAATTCTAGTCTGTGAGAAATGAGACTGTCGCTAATCAGCTGTGTGATCAGGTAAATCCCACCATCACAGGGCCTTGGTTTCCTCCTCTGAAAAATGAACCCTGTCCATGAAAATGAGAGAGTCACCATTACCTACAGCTTTGTTGTGATTTCCAGACAACTGAAGGCAATAAACAATGTTGACATTCTGTAGATAGGTGGGTAATCAAAGCTGTATGACTCTTATGTTTGTGTTATTGATGTTTTAAAGAAATGGTATTTAAGTTGGGTGCAGAGGTGCATGCCTGTAATCTCAGCTATTCATGAAGCTGAGGCTGGAGGTTCACTTGAGCCTAGGAGTCCAAAGCCAGCCTGGGCAACAGAGTGAGACCCTGTCTTAAAAAAAATGATGATTAAATACAAGATCAAAGTGATAGATTTAACAAAATCAGTTGTATAATTCTCATAGGACTGCGTTTGCATACACAAATATCATTTGGAGCAGATAAAGGTCCTAGAGCTGTCAAAATATATCATTATTTAAAACACAAGATAGTTCTTTAAAGGGAGGAATAGGACATTTTGTGAATATTCTAGAATTAGTAAAGGGTGAATTGTAAAAGTGGCCTCAAAAGTTATTTAATACAACCTAGCTTCTACACTGCTTTCTTCTTACAGTGATTACACTTTTCAAAGGAGAGAATGAGAATAAAGAGAATGGAAAAGTGTTTAGTTGTGATGACTATTCAACACAGCTAATCAAATATTGAGTAAACAAGGAAATGGCTGGCAAATGTGCATATATTATAGGATGAATGACAGGTTTATAGCATTAAAGAAATAAACTCATGATTTTTATCAGACTAATAACAGTTAATTTTGTAAATGCACTGAGAACTTGGCAAATATCATGCAAATAAGATCAGATTTGTAGACTCCCTCTCCAGAAAAACAAGATGGGAAAAGAAGGAAAAGAATAATTATAGTCATTTTTTTCGAGGTATCTTTTTTCTCCGAAGGCTAGTAAACCAACGTAATAAATTTTACACAAGAGAATATTTGCAATCTCTGCAAAATAAATAAAATTAAGATCAAAATATTTATGACAAAACATCTAAATTTACCATCACACCTTTCAAAGTATCATATGTTAAGGACACGTAACAAATGTTACAACAGCGAAGACTGTAGTACAACAAGATGAAAACCAGAGATAGAATTCAACTCTTCTTTGGGACATCTCATAGGACAGCCGATGGAAAGAGTTGGGAATTCTGCTCTGAAGAAGAAAGGGGAGCTATCGTTCATATTTAAAATTAAATGAAAGAATTCATATAAAGTATTTAGCCCTGTGCCTGGCATATAGCAAGAACTCCTTATGTATTAACTTTATCACATACATTGTTATTATTTATCACACAGGGAAGAAAAGCATTAAGTTGCATTATAATCAGAAAAAGGACAGCCCCAACCTTTGCAAGATTTGGAGCGAGTGTGCAGAGGGAGGCCCCACACTGTGGGTCCCCAGGTTTAAGTGTTATTAATCAAGCTCACCAACAATTCAATTAAATATGCTCTACATTCCTATATGTTCTGTCTCTTGGGAAATATAACTTCATAATGACCAAGAAGGATCGTGACAAATTCAGGATCCCTCAAAATTCTGCACCAGTTAATTGGCCATATCGGGAAAGTCTCCTCCTGCCCCTTTCAAGGACAGAACCTAGGGAGATGTCTACACAGGCTTGAGGCTGTTTAGGTATGGAATTCCGAGGTCCTGGGGAGTAGTTTAGGAACAGAGACGACCTCTTGGCTTCACAGGAAGGAGTGTGGTTTGAGAAAGGCCAAAGGGAGGATTCTAAGTGAGGGGCTGGGCGGAACCCCTCTTGCTTGGGTCTAAGGTTTAGGACATGGAATGAACAATTTTCCAATTAAATAAGTTGTGAGTTGGATTTGTGTTTAGGTATCTTGAAGTCTCAACTTTACTAATAATTTTGGATTGACCACAGAAAAGAGCACTCTCCTGTGACCAGCTAGGCTTATCTTCTCTGGAGCTCCATTTCCTTTGCTGCAAAATGAGGGGATCTGACTTGATAACCTCTACCACCCCTCCCTACTCTAAAATTCTTGATCCATGGAGTCTGTCATTATAAGGAAAACAAAAGAACATAACAAATCATTAGTTGTCAATGGAATATTACTGAGCAATGAAAAATGAGTTCTCAAGCCACAGAAAGAAAAGAAGAACCCTTAAATGCATATTCTTAAGTGAAAGAAGCCTATCTGAAAAGGCTACAACCTGAATAGTCTCCCTCTTGTCTGGTTTCTCCATCTCTGGCTCAAGCATTTCCCATGATTCTCATCCCTTACACTCTGCAGTCATAATGAGCTTCCATCTTCTGAAAACTCTTTCTGGAAGATTTCTGTATCACCACTGAATCTGCCTATCCACCACTCACTCCTTCACACTGTATTGTCTGTTCCTCCTCCATGACACATTCCACACTCAGTTTTTGATTGTCAACTCTTCACCACATTAAATATATGATCCTTTCTCTCTTGAAATTCTTTCCTCTCCTGTCCTCCGATACTCCTAACTCCTCTGTTCCTCTTCTTACCACCCCAAGGGATCCTCCCTATCACCTTTCCCCCCTGCTCTTCCTCCTACTTTGTAAAAGAGGGCTTTTCTGTGGTTTAGCACTTGAATTTCTGCAGTACGTTGATTCTGACGCTCATATATTCCCACAGTTTCCCCTGAAGAGTCCCATGCGTGTCACCTCCTCAGGATGGGAACTGTAATCACCTCAAATACAACGTAATGTTGGGTCTAATAAGGAAACTCCACTCTGCTCCACTTTAGGAAGAAATCGTTGCTAGGAACAACACATATTAAACTGCTCTATGCTATTTATCAGATATTTCTCTAAGACTGGTGGTGGAGAAGAGGTTCCTGAAGTGACAGAAGTTTTAAGGGGGAGAGACAAGGAGATGGAGAAGAACGATTTTGCCATCAAGGATCAAGGCAGAGGCCAAGCGCGGTGGCTCATGCCTATAATCCCAGCATTTTGGGAGCCTGAGGTGGGTGGATCACTAGAGGTCAGGAGTTCAAGACCAGCCTGGCCAATATGGTGAAATCCCATCTCTACCAAAAATACAAAAATTAGCCAGGCATGGTGGCACACACCTGTAACCCCAGCTACTTGGGAGGCTGAGGCAGGAGAATCACTTGAACCCAGGAGGTGGAGGTTGTATTGAGCCGCCTGGGCAACAGAGTGAGACTGTCGCAAAAAAAAAAAAAAATCAAGGCAGAGACCTGATAGCTACAGTGGGTACAAGATCATGTGAACTCTGGGATGAAGGGGAAAATAATGAAACAGGAGGTCAGAGAGGGGTGGGAAGAGGGTTTGTCAAAGATAGACTTCTCCTCTGCAGTTCTATTCGGGACCAGCCTTCCTGGCACCTGAGTTAGCCAGTATGATCTACAGTCAGACCATTTATCTTTCTTTTTCTCTTCCGCTCCCCCCTGTGCCCAGCCCCTGAACATTATCTAGCACTCTACGGGCAAATGAAACAAAAGAAAAGAGCGAAACATGCATCTTGGTATCAAGGAATGTATTATTTACATAGACAAGGTATTATTTAAACAGAACATATGAAAGAAGTCACAGAAGACACCCAGCAGTACAGGAGCAAAATCATCTTTCTGGGTCACGTAAGCTGAGAAGCCTGAGCGTCTGAATGACAAGTAGGATTTAGTGTATCTGAGCGTGATTTATAGAGTAGGTAGTTTGTCAGCAAGGTTTCAAAGGAGGGAGAGTAGGCTGGGCATGGTGGCTCATGCCTGTGATCCCAGCACTTTGGGAGGCCGAGGTGGGTGGATCACTTGAGGTCAGGAGTTTGAGACCAGCCTGGCCAACATGGTGAAACCCCATCTCTACTAAAATACCAAGAAAAAAAAATTAGCTGGGCGCAGTGGCGCACGCTTGTAATTCCAGCTACTTGGGAGGCTGAGGTAGGAGGATCACTTGAACCCAGGAGATGGAGGTTGCAGTGAGCCGAGATCGTTCCACTGTACTCCAATCTGGGCGACAGAGTGAGACTCCTTCTCAAAACAAACAAACAAACACAACAATGACAACAACAACAACAAAAAACAAAAGAGGGATAGTAGATTCACAGAAGGCATGCACTTTCCTGAGGCACTCTCTTGAAGGAGATGTCAAATGCTCATGTCTTCTGGGAAGCTGGTGACAATACTTTTGGGACTTTGTGAGAATGGCTGACAAAGGAATGGGCAGATAATATGGGCCATGAGCCTGGAAGAATATTACAGAGTCACATCAAGATGAGAACAGATCTGTGAGCTTAAAAAGTGGGCGTGTAGGGGCCGGGCGCGGTGGCTCACGCCCGTAATCCTAGCACTCTGGGAGGCCGAGGTGGGTGTATCACAAGGTCAGGAGATTGAGACTATCCTGGCTAACACGGTGAAACCCCATCTCTACTAAATATACAAAAAATTAGCCAGGCATGGTGGTGGGCGCCTGTAGTCCCAGCTACTTGGGAAGCTGAGGCAGGAGAATGGCGTGAACCCGGGAGGCAGAGCTTGCAGTGAGCCGAGATCGCACCACTGCACTCCAGGCTGGGCGACAGAGCGAGACTCCATCTCAGAAAAAAACAAACAAAAAAAAAGCAGGCATGTAGGAAAGATGCGGCATTTCAGATGCACTGAGTGAGTGTCTTGTTCTTTTAGTCCAAGAATTCCTGAATATGTATTCACTCATTGCCCGTTATTTCCTGTGTATTTGGACGAGAAAACTGTAAGGAAACATTGTGAGTGCAACATTAATTTCCCATAAATTACTGTGTGAAAATAAATAACATTTAAAAGGTGTTAGAATTCCTAAAATGCGTTTTACGCCTTGAGAGAGATGCGACTGTGATCTGAGTCACATATGGTTACAACTTCTGTTTCTCAGATTATAGATTAACTTGCTTCCTTTTTTCTCTTGTTCTGTACAATGACTAGAGAGAATTAAACAATTGTCAGGGACAAACACTTCCTGACTTCTTTTATTCTTTTTTTCTTTTTGAGACGGAGTTTCACTGTTTCGCCCATGCTGGAGTGCAGTGGTGTGGTCTCAGCTCACTGCAACCTCCGCCCCATGGGTTCAAGTGATTATCCTGCCTCAGCCTCCTGAGTAGCTGGGATTATAGGTGCCCACCACCCCGCCTGGCTAATTTTTGTATTTTTAGTGGAGACAGAGTTTCGCCATGTTGGCCAGGCTGGTCTCAAACTCCTGACCCCAAGGTGATCCACCCGCTTCAGCCTCCAAAGTGCTGGGATTACAGGTGTGAGCCACCGTGCCTGGCCGCCTCCTGCCTTTTTAATTAATGAATCTTGTTAAAGATTACCTTTTCCTTTTTTTGTCCTATTTTCCTTAGACCAGATGACAGAAAACCCATGACTATAGCACACTCTGTAAAAGATGTTAAATGTCCCTTTCCCAAAAAGAAACACTGCCTGTAACCAAGTTCCTGGAACTATGCACCAGCCTTGTATGAAAAAATGTAATCCTGCTAAAAATGCCTCTGTCTCTCCCTATGGAAACCCTAAAGTTCCCTCCTTTACAACTCTGACTTCATTCTTTTGGGGTGTTTCCAGGTGGGCCATCCTCAAACTTTGAGTTTGAATAAATGCTCTTTAAATTAGATTCTGGCCTTTTTGATTATTTCAGGTTGACAGCTGTAAATCGACTCATTTTTGTAAATTTGCTATAAAATCTAACATTTGCCAAATCACAGTTTGGTTACATAGCAGGGGAACCTGCAGAATGTCTGAGTGATCCCCAGTTTCTGAAATAACAACGTGTAAGCGTTCTCAGGATCAGAACGCCGCCAGAGGACGTTAAAGAAAAGAGGCTTATCTGTCACTACAGATGGGGGCAGCATGAAAAGTTAATTCTTGTCTTAGTGCAGGGACACGTCTTTGGAAGGATGTGGTTTCCGTGGGTTTTCTTTTCTTTGCTACAATTGTGGTAATTTCCAGGGCTCCTAGCTCAACTGAAAGGTTCATGGATTGCAGCATTTTTGAGAGCTTCAGATGAAGCAGTTTCTGAATAAAATGCTTGAAATTAAAAACTTTCTTAGATGGATTTTGCCTTAAAACTATGGAAATACCAGGATGACATACTTTTTAAAAAGTATCAAGTTCAAGGAGTTTTTCTTTTTAATTTTAAATGATAATAATATCTTGTAGTTAGTATGGTACTTTCTCCAAAAAAGATCCAAACTTCTCTGCAAGTGCTATTATTGTTATTATTATTATTTTTCACGTTATCCTTAGGAAGCAAAAAAGGAGAACCAGTGTCACAAAGAAATGTTAGGTGACTTGTTCAAAGTAACTCACACACTCATGCCCTGAAGCCATAACCGGAAGTAGAGCTTTGTGTGTTCTATGAATAGAAAGTGAAACTCAGTTTTCTTTTTCATAAAAGAAAAATTTCAAAGTGATATTGACCAAGAATGTTCAACTGGTGCATATTGGGAGTGTGGGAGTCAAGGGCAGTGATGTGAATCCAGGAACACTAGCGTTCTGCCTCTTGGCATCACCCTGGGAGGCCTCTCTTCAGAGGCCTGCAAAACCACGGCGGCCTGCCCTCAAATCCAACCTGAGGGAACGACCCAGAGACAGAGCTGTTCCTATAGGATCTAGAGCTACTTAGGTGTGAAATAGTAACACTACTTAAATGTCAGAATACAGATCGGCCTTTCAGAATTCAAAGGAGACACAGAGGAAGGTAGACTTTAGTTCACTTTTAATTTTTAAGGGAAAATTATTTCCTTGAAATTAAAAAGAAATAGCATCCTTACTGTGTTAGATGCATCTTTCCTTTCCAAACAAATTTTAGAAATAAATCCTCTTATTTTTCCACAGTTTTATCAGAGATAGAACACAGAAACTTTGGATACTTGAGTTATTAATCTTTCTTTTACTGCAGCATAACTAAAAAGAGGGAAACTGTTTCAGTGTTTATTTTTCCCTGTGTTTCAAAGTTTTATGGTTAATTATTTTTTTCTAATTGTTTTAAATCTACTTGTAAGTGGATAGTTAAAAGATTTATGACAACTCTTCTTGTAGACAAATTTTATTGTGGATTTTCCTATTTTTTTACTTTTTAAAATGTAAGTAATGGAAACTGTTAAAAATCTAAGTTGGAAATCTAGTAGTGCAAAAGTTGGCTGGCATCCGCACTGAAGGGGGTACTGAGAAGGGATCGTGCAATTTCAAGCCCTGCAGACTTTGTAAGACAGAAAATGTAAATATTAACAACAAAGAAATGTTAGAAAAAAAGTAAAAGAAAGAAGAGCTAGCCCTTCTTTCCTCTTGCCAAGACAGCAGCCTCTCAGAATGCTGATCTACGTTAGACCCTGAGCCAGTAATTTATGCCAGAGCCTGGATGATGTACAAAGTCATTTTGATCTAGCACACAGAAAATTCATTGTGAAGATTCTTTTGATTTGAGCCTCATTCAGATTCAGGTTCAGATTTCATGAATTATCCTGTACATCTATGTCCCCAGACGGTGCCGTCCCATTAGGGCCCCTGGTTTTACAGCTCCCAGCCCCTCTGCCTGTAACTCTTACTCTCTGTCCTGGGCAGGGGTAAAGTGGGTGCCTCAGAGCCCTGTTGATAAACGGCAGAGCTGGGCTTGAACTTCGGAATCCAAGTCCACAGGAATTTTCACATTTTGTAGCTTCCTAAATGGCTTTATCATATTTTCACCCTTCCATAGGTGATATATCCCTCATCTAGGAACTTTAAAAACTTTAACAATTTAATCCAAATGACCCTAATTAATAACAAGTGAATACCTGTCCTCAGAATCTCCTGAATAATCTGGTATTCAACAGGTGCGCTCTTTGGAGGCAGAGAGCAGATGAATAACTTCCTTTAAAAAATAACAATGCCCTGGAGAAGTACATAGTTAATTTATCTTATCTGATGTCTACACTAGCATACACAGGTAACTGTCCTCCCAAGAAAGGTCATTCCCAACATGTTCCCAGAACAAAGCATTATCCATATCACGTATCAATCGTTGCCTTTTGCATTCACTTGTGGTATTTAATCAGTTACTTTGACAAGCAAGGTTTGAATAATTAAGACATCTCAAAAACAACAACTCGGGGTGTTGGAAAAGGTGATTCAAGCTTCTTCCTTTGTTTCTTTCCTCTTTCTAAAAGGACTCAGTTCCTTGAGATCTGAGTCTTGAGCCAGTCAGATTTACATTTCATGTAAACATTCTCTGCTGAAGTTTTTTTTTCTCTCCCAGCACCAATGCTGTGGATGCACTTGTGGCTCAGGTCTTGGTAAAGCATCCCAGCTGCACGGAACTCATTTATGCCTAGTGTTCCATTATTGGAACGCTAAGCATGTGGGAGTTATTTATATCCTACTGCTCAAGGTCATCACCAAGGTCTGATTTCAAAATTCAAAAAGTTGCAACCTCAGGCATAAATGGGTTAAGGAGATCTCTCATAAGAGGGACAGAAACAAATGCTGCCTGAAGCTGTGATGGACAGGCAAGAGAAAGGAGCATACCTATCTTCTACAAAGTGGGATTCCCAATAGCCTTCCCCGTAAGACATGAAAACTGTCATACATGCAAATCAAAAAAAAAAAAAAAAATGGGGAAAAGGCACCAAGAGAAGCACAACTGCCTAAGTGCCCAGAAGCCCAGTCTAAAATGTGTTTATAGTAACATACACAGAAAGATATAATAAAAATAAAATCAGTTATAATCCTACCTCCCAATTAACAACTGTTAGTTTTTCATTATTTTTCATGCTTATACATGCAAATGTTCTTGCTTAAAAGGAAATACTATATATTCTCACTTATGATTTCATAAACAACATTCTGTATTGATGTTTAAGCATTTACATCATCATTTAAAATGGTTATATAGTATTATTTTCTCTGACCATATAATAATTTATTCAATAAATCTGTCATTGGGTATTTGTGTTGTTTCCAATTTTTCGCTACTATGAAAGCTTTACAGTAAAAATCTTTATTTATGGCAAAAAAGAAAAAATGTGTTTAGCAGTTTGCTACAAGCCTCAAAATACTGCAAAGGGAAAAGATTACAGGGAGCCCCAGCATGTGCAGAAAATCTAGACAACAGTACGGAGAGGGTGGCAGAGTTTGTCTCCTTGCCTGCAGGTGACATACCTTCACCCTCCCAACAGCATGGAGAGGGTGGCAGAGTTTGTCCCTTTGCCTGCAGGTGACATACCTTCACCCTCCCAGGCCAATGGGTATTTATCATCTCCAGGAGGGAGTTTCTAGTACAAAATCTCTTCTAGCCTTCATCATGGGAAGTTCCAGCCTGCTCCCTGCAGCAGGAAGCGGGCCTGCATTCTCCTAAATAGTTGACCAGGACACCTCACTCTTTTCTACTTCCTCTCCTGCAGCCACACCTTTCATGCCCAAGGCCCTTTCTGCCCATTCAAATTCCTCTTTCTAGTTTCTCTCAGCTCTGGTACTTTGTGTCTGCCTTCTGATCTAATATTACTCATACTGTTAGAAATGCAGCCTTGACTCTTATTAGAGTGTGAAGTTCTCAAGGTCGGGAGCTGTATTATATACTTCTGTATCCTCCACAGTGCTTTGAGCACAGCATATGCTCAGTAAGTGCTTTGCCATGGTCTGGCTTCTCTTTATCTTAGGTAAGTGCATTTATTCATTGATTTGGTTATTGCACATATGCTGAGAATCTACTGGGAACTGCAGAGGTGGTGATGGATGCCCCAGTTGCCATCCACTTTCCTCATTCATTCCCTGGTTCCCTCATTAATTCTTCCCATGGCTCAAGTCTCCTTAGAAGTTTTCCCTCATTCACTCTCCAGTCGTCATGGCTTGAGATAGAAAATGGGAAAAGGGCTGGGTGCGTTGGCTCACGCCTGTAATCCTAGCACTTTGGGAGGCTGAGGGGGGTGGATCACCTGAGGTCAGGAGTTTGAGACCAGCCTGGCCAACATGGTGAAACCCTGTCTCTACTAAAAATACAAAAATTAGCTGAGTGTGGTGGTGCACACCTGTAATCCCAGCTACTCAGGAGGCTGAGGCAGGAGAATCACTTGAACCCGGGAGGCGGAGGTTGCAGTGAGCTGAGATCACACCATTGCACTCCAGCCTGGGCG
Organism: Homo sapiens; assembly: GCF_000001405.40. Lineage (NCBI taxonomy): Eukaryota > Metazoa > Chordata > Mammalia > Primates > Hominidae > Homo > Homo sapiens. The sequence continues at coordinate 6,477,848 of NC_000010.11, forward strand.
ACAGAGTGAGACTCCGTCTCAAAACAAACAAACAAAACAAACAAACAAAAAGAAAGAAAACAGAAAATGGAAAAGCCTCCGCCCCTTGTGTTCTTTGGCCCTTAGTCATATGGTCCCACTTGAGGCTGCTAATTAGTGCGGGTGGTGGACAGCCGGGATGGGGTGGCAGAGAGGAGACAAACCAGTAAGAAGAATCATAATGCATGTGCATGAAAACTAATCTTCGAGGATGTTCATTTTAGTGTTATTTAAATCAGAACAAAAAATTAGAGATGTTCTAGTTAAATCACGTTGTAGAATATCCAAAGACGTAAGAAAATGTTCAAAATAGAGTGTAACAAATGCAGAGTACAGTGCAGTAGGTATTTACAGTGGGTTGCTATTTTTGTTTTTAGAAGTCCACTGCAGAGAGAATCTATAGAAGGAGAAACTTCAAAGTATTAATGGCGAGTATATCTTAAGTGGTGGGATTATAAGTGATTTTCTTCTTTGAGTTTATAAAAATTTTCTACAATGATCCTGAATAATTTTGAGTCAGGAAAGAAAAGGATAATTTTTGTTTTTTTAAGGAAAAAGGAGACCAGGATGCAAGTCCTCCCAGAACGGCACAGCCTTCTGGCAAATTCAGCATAAGGAAAGGGTCCCAACACCGAGTGGGAATGCAGACGCATCCAACCTCCACCTCCCAGCTCAGGGGCTTGCTCACTGATGAGCCCACTCCAAGGCTGCTTTTTCTGCCAGCCTTGAAGAGAAAAATAATAGTGTACGTGCGTTTTGATCTATTTTCCAACTTTTATCTCTTCCAGTACATGCAGGGTAGATGAACAAACACTTGTTACATTTTCCCCTAAGTCACGGACTGCTGAGAAGCCTGGTTGTTATGCTAAATGAAACCAAATTCTAAAAAACAGGAAAACAGACAAACAAATCTAGAAGTAAAGATCTTTCCCAATTGATGACACTAAAACATTCTAAGTAATACTTCCATGGTGTGTAGAAGGGATGTTTGGATGGATGGCAGGTACACCGAAATGTAAGATAAATATGGAGGCAATGACTCGTGTCTCCTAATGAGGGCGCCATTGAAGGTATCATGCTGAGACAGGTTAGAGGGGAGGTAGGGTTGTCGGAGCAGAAGCCATACCTTGGTCTGGAATGTACAAAACATGTGCGTCAGAAACGGATGCTCCCAGGCCAAGGAAAGAACTCTCTTCTCTACCATCGTGCACTCAACATCATCGTCCATCAAGACCACATCTTTCTTTAAGGCCTTTATTGCGAAAAATTGATTGGTTTTCTTGAATTCTGCCAGGAAGACCTAGAAGGAGAGGGAAGAAGTAACTTTATTTTAGAATTTGGATTCCCATTTCTTAAAAAAGAGACAGAGTCCTGAGAGACACCTGTGTTGGGTGGGAAAAGGGGTTCCTTCTCCAACCCCCATCCATCCTGCATAGGCCATTCCTGAGACAAAATGGAGCACTTCTCTGGTTTCGGACATGACATCACTATTTCATACTATCTTTGTACTCTTTCCAAGGGTTCACAAAATTATTAAGCAATTGAATGGATTTTTAAAAGTGTGCCCTGCCTGCTCAGGGATCTGAGTGAAGGTACAATAAAAATCCAGAGAGATAAAGTGCACAGTGAAGAAAGAAGAGTTGAGTGTGGAGAGGAGAAACTGTACTCGAAACATCACTGCAAGTGCACATAAATCCTAGCTTTACGTTTTACCCAGTTTTTCCAGGCCAAAAGAAGAATGGAGGGATATAGTTCTCCTTGTGTACTTAAAAAATAAACACCGGCCAGGTGCGGTGGCTCAAGCCTATAATCCCAGCACTTTGGGAGGTCAAGGCAGGCAGATCATCTGAGGTTAGGAGTTCGAGACCAGCCTGGCCAACATGGTGAAACCCCGTCTCGACTAAAAAAAAAAAAAAAAAAAAAAAAAAAATCCAAAAATTAGCCGGGCATGGTGGTGGGTGCCTGTAGTCCCAGCTACTCGGGAGGCTGAGGTGGGGAATTGCTTGAACCTGGGAGGCGGAGGTTGTGGTGAACTGAGATCATGCCACTGCACTCCAGCCTGGGCGTCAGAGTGAGACTGTGTCTCAAAATAAAAAAAAATAAATAAGTAAACACCATTTTCTCTGACAACACAGCAATGAATTATTCATAGCAGAATGTATGGCATGTAGTAGGTCCTAAAATGTGACTGACACTGGGTTCAAAGGATAACTTGCTCAGATTCTTCGAGCTACTAGGGAAAGATTTAACTCCGAAGTTTACTTTCCCACTTGATTTCGTGGCTCTCGTATCAAAGGACACCAAAATGGGAATGAAACATTTTAGGACCTACTGTGTGTCATACACTCTGCTACCTACTTTACACTTACGACCTAATTGTATTATCTAATTTAATTCTTAGCTCATCACACTCTGCAAGACAGAAGTTAACAACATCAACAACAAACACTGAGTTCAAAGAATAACTTGCTCAGATTCTTGGAGCTATGAGGGAAGATTTAACTCCAAAATCTACTTTTCCCACTTGATTTTGTGGCTCTTATATCAAAGGACACCAGATGGCATATGATGGAGGGTTTCAACAATTTTAGTTTTTGCAAATGATGCAGCAACACACTGTTGGCAATGGTAAGGGCATGGCATTTGGATACAGAAAATTCTAGCTCTAGTTTTATTTCACAGACATTTATTAGCTGTGGAAATGTGGGCAGATGAATTAGCCCCTCTGGGCTTCAGTTTCCAATTACTACTGCATTCTCTAACTTACAGGACTGTTGTGAAAGTCAGGTAAGATGAGACCTGGGAAAGTAGACTCTAAAATGATCTCTGAATCACAGTTGCTAAAATTCAGTCATTTGTCATTTGTTTCTGTTATTGACTTTTGGGAAAGGCCGAAGTCAATGATGTGACAACAGCCCTGAACATGTAAGTGTCTAGGTTTAAAAGCGACGGAGCAGGTTCGTAGCTTGATGGTAGCTGACTTGATAGAAGGGAAGGGATGAAACTTAGATGGGAATTCAGGCAAATGAATGATGCTCACATCCCCAGAGAACACACAATTTGTTTTCTTAGGCTTAAAATTTGTTTGAGAACAAGGGTATAGAGGTCTTGGTGAGGAAACATACTTTCCACATAAAGCCAGAAGAGAGAGAAAAGACAAGTTTTGGAGTATTCTCAGTGTTGTGAGAAAGAGAAACAGCCATCCTGTCTTGCTTTGATATCTCCCCCTCCTCTCCTCTCCGTGTATAGGGACCCAGGGTCCTGATGAAAAGAAGTAGACAGCTTTGGACATGGAGTGGGGGAAACCTGGGGCTCCCAGCTGCACCTTGGGATACCGACTAAGGCTTGTAGGTTTAACTTAATGTCTTCCTTATTAACCTTATTCAAATGTGGAAATCCACATGGGAACAAAGAAAGATAAACATTTCATTAACAATTAAAAGTCCTCTTTTAGTAATTGCTTCTTTCAGTAAAACACCCTAAAACCAGCCATAAACTAAGAAGCCAAAAAGACAATTTCCATCTATATAATGTGCTTTCAATTTTTGGTAACAGGTTATAATTGCACATTAATTGCTGCTAAATTACAATGAAGACTGGCTGTAACATTGCCTATTATGCTCAGATTAGCACCAAATGAGCCTACTGTGGTTCATATTATTGTGGAACTGAACAAAAAGAATTCCTGAATATCAGCTACCATGTGCTGGACAGAGTCGATTCTGCTGAAAGGCAAGGCATCAGTGTTTAAATCCAAACCCCAAATGGAGCTCAATATTATTCAGCTGTGGTGACCGCTCAGTTGCATTTTAGTTTGTTTAATATTAAATAAACTGGGTAAGACATCCTGCCAAAGTCTGGTGAGCAGTTGTGGTGTATAATGCTGCCTTTGGCTGCACAGATTCATAGAACAGTCATCTCTGATTAAAATTTTCCTGGGAGTCCCATCCAAGAATGTAAAACAAATAGGAGCCCCGTTAATACATGAGATACCCTTAATATCAAAAATTACCTAAAAGCCTATATTCCATATCATCCCTCCTTAAATCACCAGCTTGAAAATTTTCTGCAGTCACCGGTAGTTGGTTATAATTTCTTAAATTATCTCTTCTTCCTTCTTCTCACCTCCCCTTTTTTTTTTTTTTGCTCCTCCTCTCCCTCTTTCCTTCCTCTCCTTGTCATCTGTGAGTGATGGAGACAACCCCCCACCTGCATGTATGGCAGGAAGAATTTAGAGGAGGGACTTTCTCCACAATTTTTTTCCAGGACTCTCAAGCTACAGTTTTCTTATGGGCTGAATTGTGTCTATACTGAAGTTCCAATCCCCAGGACCTTGGAAAGTGACTGTATTTGGAGACAGGACCTTCAAAGAGGTAATTAAGGTTAGATGAGGTTATTAAGGCAGGTCCTAATCCAATATGACTGGTGTTTTCACAAGAAGAGAAAATTTAAGCAGAGTGTGGTGGCACAACTGTAATCCCAGCTACTAGGGAGCTGAGACAGGAGGATCACTTGGGTTCGGGAGGTCAAGACCAGCCTGGGCAACACAGTGAGACGTCATCTCAAAAAAGGAGAACACTTGGATGCAGACATGCACAGGAGGAAGATGATATGAAGGCATGGAGAGAGGGCGACCATTGCAAAGCATGGAGAGGGGCCTGGGAAGAAACAACCCAGACAACACCTTGATGGTGAACTTCCATCCTCCAGACCTGCGAGAACATGAATTTCTGCTGTTTAAGCCAGCCAGTATGTGAGATTTTGTTATAGCAGCCTGTATTAGTCTGTTATCACACTGCTAATAAAGACATGCCCGAGACTGGATAATTTATAAAGGAAAGAGGTTTAATGGACTCGGTTCCACACAGCTGGGGAGGCCTCGCAATCATGGTGGAAGACAAAGGAAGAGCAAAGGGACGTCTTACGTGGTGGCAGGTGAGAGGGCATGTGTAGGGAAACTCCTCTTTATAAAATCATCAGATCTCATGAGACTTACTCACTATCATGGGAACAGCACAGAAAAACCCATCCCCATGATTCAATCACCTTCCACTGGGTCCCTCCCATGACACCTGGGGATTATTACAATTCAACGTGAGATTTGGGTGGGGACACAGAGCCGAGCCCTATCACACCCCAAGGAAACTTATACAAGCTGGAAGATATTTAATAGAGAGAGAAAAAAATCACATGCAAACTAAAACAACACTCCAGGCTTGAGAATGAAGCAAAAGAAGAGAAAACAAAATGAAACAAACACAAACACCGTGTGAAACAGGAAGTGGCTGAGGCACCTTCCTATTTCTTTGGTGCCCAAAGACATCAAACTCATAGGCGTGTGAGATGTACACTCTCCAAGCAAAGTAGCTTTGGAGACACAGGTTTCCAGAAAGCTGAGGCTACTATGGGCCTAGAGCCCTCGGGGTCCCTATTTATTCAGCGCTCCCTCAGGAAAGCTGTCTCTGACACTCACATGCAATCCTAGTGGCCCTATGAGTTTAATTTCTTTGACCAGGAACTTGGCTCATCAGTTCCTGGAGTTGGGCCATAGCATTCTCCCGTGCATTAGCTTACCTTGCCAAAACTTCCTTTCCCCAACATTTTGTGCAAGATAAAATCCTCAATTTTTAGTTTAATCTGCAGAGATGGTCTTTCTTTGTTCAGTTCAGGTTCTGGAAGATGGCACATTTTATCCACCTCATCCAACGGAGACTCCCAGGAAATGCCCTGAGGCTCTGAAAATGCAAGCTGGTGGTTAAAAATGAACATGGAGTAATGGAGGTCATTCTAGTTACTGAGAGCACATGCTTTCTCTTCTACTTCCCATGCTGAGGCTCCATCATAGTAATTGGGGGTGTTTAGAGGGTTTCCTACAGTTCAGGCAGCTTTAATACCTTTCCATCTGTCTGTGAGGGCAGCACCCCCTGTCTGTGAGCCTGGCATTTGGATTTTGGAGTGTGGACTATGTCTCTTTCTTCAATAGACTGGGAAATAGTTCAACTTAAGAAACAAATTCCAATCAGTAAAAGACCATATATGCAAAATACACAAGCACTGTTAATAATGCCACATCAAGGACATCTAGGGATTTTAACCAAATTTTAGGAAAAAAATGATTTTCAATTGTTTGCATGGCTCACAAACACAGTGGCATCAATTTCTACAATTTACAGCGTGAGAGAGACAGGAAATGAAATCTAGCAGATTTTTAAAGATCTGAACTGCATCATTCATCCCAGAATTCAAGTCAAGATGCTGCCTACGTTGGCCGGGTATGGTGGCTCACACATGTAATCTGACAACTTCGGGAGGCCGAGGTGGGCGGATTGCCTGAGCTCAGGCATTTGAGGCCAGCCTGGGCGACATGGTGAAGCCCCATCTCTACTAAAATACAAAGAATTCGCTGGGTGCGGTTGTGTGCGCAAGTAGTCCCAGGTACTCGGGAAGCTGAGGCAGGAGAATCCCTTGAACCCACAGGGCAGAGGTTACAGTGAGCTGAGATTGTGCCACTGCATTGTAGCCTGGGCCACAGAGCAAGACTCTGTCTTCAAAAAAGAAAAAAAAAAGATGCTGCCTATGTTGATCATTGCTAAGACATAGTCTCCTTGACTGCCTGGCAACCCCTCCTAAATGTAACCCAAACCTTTCATTTACATTTTTAAGTTGATTTGAAGTCAGAGAAAACATAAGAGAAATTTTTAGGAATTTCCCCCTGCCTACAATAGTCTCTATATTTTTAAATCCCTAGGTTTATCTTTCATACTCTTCCAAGGACACTAAGTATTTTAGAATGTATGCTGAAACGACTCAGGTCTCAGAAACATGGGTCATATCCACTCATGAACTGCTTTCAAACAGTAGGCTGGAAAAACTGCCATAATGTCATGAAAGTGGCTTTGAGTCCTTCTCTTTCCTACCCTTAAATTTAAGTCTCAAAGGTGCAGAGTAAGAATGTCTTCTGTGGCCTTCCCACCATCAAATTTTAAGACAGATTTATTTCTGTGAAACCATTTGACACTGACAGAATGTAACATGCTGAAACTCTAAGAAAACATTTGTGGTTGTTCCCTCCAGACCTATCCCATTTTCTAACCCCCACCTCCTGCCTTTTACAAAGGTAAAAGGTTTTAGTTTCTTTTCTAAGAAGTGGGAGCCTCTTAGTTGGTAGCTGGAGGTGGATCACCTATCAGACCAGGTAAGCTGATAACTTAAATCCAAGGGCATTAGGTTAGGGTTAATTGAGATTAATGACTGACAGTGATTAGACTGCTGATCAGGACAGCTACCTCTTTTTCCCGGTGTCGGTAAACATGGCGGCCTTGCTTCATTTTTGATGGAGCATGGGAGACCAATTTCAACCGGACCTTCTCTGAAGATCTGTTCAGTATCTCTTAAGCAGCGAGCCTGGATGACAAACAGAGAGTCAGACCACCCACCCACCCACCATTGATGGAACAGCTCAGCCTGCTAACGATGGGGACAAAGGCCATTTAAAATGTTTAAATGCATAGGGTCAACAAAGATCTCCTTATCCTCAACGTTCTTTTGGAACCCCATATTCTGGGAGAGTCTATCTACTGTATTTTATGCATTAGCCGAACACGTTTGCCTCCTTCACACTTTTCTGGGGCTGACAGGATTCTCTCATGCTGTCTACATCATTCCATCACAAATAAGGACAGGTAGTTAATGGATGGGAAAACAGCTGATACAGGCAATGCCAAGTCTTAAAGAGGGTTTATCCTTGGATCTAGGAATTCAGCTAATGCCAAAACAGTAAACAGCAGGCCAAATTTGCCCTGGACTCGGTGTTCCATGAGGATGATGCTAGCACATAAGTGTTTTCCCCCAGGCTATTCTATAACCCGAATATATTCACATAAAGCTGTCAATGAATCTTCAATAACTTTAATGAATTTATTTGTTTCTGCAATGCTCATGCCATGAAGAATTTAAGATTTTATAAAGATCTGCATAATACAAATGCATTAAATAAATATCTCAAAGATAGGGGGTGTGGGCATGGATATGAAAGCCAAGGGCAAGGCCGGTGCTCAGAAATACATCCCGGCATTTCCCATAGGGCTGCCACAGGTGAAGCAGCAGAAGTGCATGGACATCCTTGCTGAGCGGCCATGGCGGGAACGTGTCCACGGCACATGCTCCTACCTGTTGAGTGCTCTCAATCATGGCCAGCGCTTCAGCCATTAGCTTCTGGTTTATGCCACAAAGGTTGGCCACCTTTGTCTGGCATCTATGATGCACATTCATGCCACATGCTGGAAGGAAGAAGGCAGATAGTGAGCAAGAGTGGAAGAACCCCCTGGTGCTAAACAACTCTCTCTGGAGGTAAGACAGAGCCTTGCGGATAGGGAGGAAAGCCTAAAGTGCCACGGCTGGGAGGAAGTTGACCCTGGCTCTCCCTGGTAGTGATCCTCGTGCTGGAAGGGAAGTGAGGTAGGAGGTGGGACTCAACTCTGGAGGTGGGGTTCAGACGCCAGACCAAATTGAAGACTAGCTAAAACAGGGACAGGGCAGAAGCAGCTTTCCAGAAGATGCCCACCTGCGTGCCATGTCAGTTTAGTGTTGCCATGGCAACACCCAGACGTTACCACCCTTTTTCCAGGAACTTAATTTGCATGTAGTTAAAAGTGGTATAAATAGGATTGCAGCACTGCCCTGAGCTGCTACTCTCTGCCTCTGGGGTAGCCCTGCTCTGCAGGAGCAGTCATGGAGCTGTAACACCAACAGAACTGTAATACCGTTGGCCAATGAAGCTGTTTTCTTCTACCAACAGCCGACCCTTGAATTCTTCCTGGGCGAAGCCAAGAACTCTCCTGGGCTAAGCCCCACTTTGGGGCTCACCTGCCCTGCATCAGAAGAATATTCCTGCCCACTCCAGTCTGGGTCCAAAACATCCCCTTTCCCACCTGGGCCATGAAGAGCTTCCCCCAGCCTTTAGGTTGAAGCCCAGGAGGCAGCCTCAGCCTGCAGATGGATATCAGACGGTGGAGCCGGAGTGTATATGTGGGAAGGGATGGAGTAGGAGGAGGCTAGCAATGCCAGGAGAGGTCACGGCAGAACACACCTAGCAAGACTGGACCAGGCATGAGGACCTCAGCTTTGAAAAAAAAATCACAAACTCTACACACGGTGTGGAAACATAAAGCCACAGGCTTCACCAGTGTGGGCTTAGATGAGGAGGCCAACAGCAACCGGGTGTTTGAGCACATTCCCCAGTTTCCAGGCCCCTGTACCCATGCCTCCTGAAAACCTCGTGTGATTATGGGAAGGGTAGAGGGCCCCAAGGATTACTAGATGAGAATGTTAACTAAGTGGATCTCACAGTCATAAAGAAAGTGATATTTCTTGCACGCATGAACTGATGGCGTAAATTGACATCTACAACCTGTTATGAAAGGTAACTCGAAGAAAAAGAACCAAAGTTTTCTGTCATCTTTATAAGTCACATAAGATGTTAAAGAAAAAGAAAGAGGAGAGGGAAATACTCGAGCACCTGTCAGGTGGGTGGAGAACGGGGTGCTGGTGGCAGCTTGCACAGCGTGGACACTGTGTGACCTTGGGCAAGTCATGAACGCTCTGGGGGCTCCCGATTAAGGATCTCCAGCACTGGACTCATGATCTATACAGGATTCTAGCTTGGGGATCCTACAATTCAGGGTGAGTATTCTGATTCATGAATCTTGAAAACAGTAGCATAGAATCTAACTTCCATTGCCAGTGACCAAGAGATCCCTCTTGGACTGGAGAGCGTGTGCCCATGTGACTGTGTAAAGACAATTATTAGTTTTAGAAATTCAAATTTTGCTAATGAAACATCACCATTAAAGGCCAGGCGTGGTGGCTCACACCTGTAATCCCAGCACTTTGGGAGGCCGAGGCGGGCAGATCACCTGAGGTCAGGAGTTTGAGAGCAGCCTGGCCAACATGGTGAAACCTCATCTCTACTAAAAATAATAACAATAAAAATTAGCCAGGTGTGGTGGTGCACATCTGTAATCCCAGCTACTCAGGAGGCTGAGGCAGAAGAATCACTTCAACTTGGGAGGCGGAGGTTGCAGTGAGCTGAGATCGTGCCACTGTACTCCAGCCTGGGAGACAGAGCGAGACTGTGTCTCAAAAAAAAAAAAAAAAAGAAACATCACCATTAAAATACAGAAAAATCAGATATAAAGATTTCCAAACTCCAGCTGACAGAGTCTGTGAGTAGAGAGTGTTGTAATAGAAGCAGGCACCAGGTGCTATGACATCATGCAGTCTTAATCTTATCTGCTGATTTGCACATGTGTGTGCAAAGAAGCTTAGCACAATGACTGGCATCGAGCAGGCGCTCAACAAATACAACTTCCTTTTCATCTTCATCATTTATTGCATAGATGTAGATATTAAAATATTTAGGTGAAATTTGGGCAACCCTCACCTGTAGTTTTCACTGGTCCACTCTTCTTCAAATAGCTCAATAATAAAATAAAGCAGAATTTTCTATGTAAATAACTATTACTTTTTTTTTTTTTTTTGACATGGAGTCTCGCTGTGTCACCCAGGCTGGAGTGCAGTGGCACGATTTTGGCTCACTGCAACCTCGGCCTCCCGGATTCAAGAGATTCTCCTGCCTCAGCCTCCTGAGTAGCTGGGATTACAGGCGCCCATCACCACACCCAGCTAATTTTTGTTTTTAGTAGAGACAGGGTTTCGCCATGTTGGCCAGGCTGGTCTCCAACTTCTGACCTCAAGTGATCTGCCCACCTCGGTCTCCTAAAGTGCTGAGATTACAGGTGTGAGCCACCGCGCCCGGTCAACTATTAACCATTACTAGACCGAGTATATAGGCATAGATATAGCCAGAAAAATTCACCTGAAGCAAAATCTTTTCTGCATATTTAAAATCTTTGTTGTTGTGTTGTTGTTCTTGAGACAGGGTCTTGCTCTGTTGCCCAGGCTGGAGTGCAGTGGTGCAATCATAGCTCACTGCAGCCTCAAACCCCTGGGTTCAAGCCATCCTCTTGCCTCAGCCTCTTGTGTAGCTGAGACCACAGGCGTGCACACCACTACACCCGACTAATTTTTTTATTTTTCGTAGAGATGGGGGTCTCACTTTGTTGCCCAGGCTGGTCTCAAACTCCTGGGCTCAAGCCATCCTTCCGCATTGCCCTCCCAAAGTGCTGGGATTACAGGTCTGTTACCGTGCCCGGCCTAAAATCTTTACTATAGAAAGGATTTTTTTTTTTCATGATTGTGCTCCAAATTCCACATTGTCGGCAAAACTCGCATAACTCACATTCGCCCTATTTAGAAGGTGTCAGGTTTCAACTTCGGTAGCCCCAGCTCCATTTTCTTATGCATCACCGTGACACCAAGTGAGGTTGTCAGCTAGGATTGAACATAGAGGGATGGAGTTTTACTTTGCTCCTTAAAACTGTAGCCACATCTAGGCTTCTCTGTGACTTGCATGGCCGCGAAGAAAGGCCACCACCATCTCCACGAGAAGGTCCTAAGTCTTTGTTACTAACCTATCAGGCCGTAACTCAGTTTCTTGGAGGGCAAAGAGTCCCTTTGGATGACTATTTTCTTGGGAATTATTGTGGGGAGAAAGAGAAGGCAGGGTAAAAGGCTAAGGAGGCCCTACTTAAGACGACGGCCTGCAAGGAGGCAGGATGAAAGGGAGGCAGAGAGGGAGGGAAGAGAGCTGGAGAAGAGGGCGAGAAGAGTCGAGAAAGGAGGACGCGGGGGCATGCGGGGTGAGCGGAGCAGGCGGGGTGAGCACAGTGGAGGGGCAGGGACCCGGGAGTGTCAGAAGCAAGAATGGAAAACAAACCAGGGCAGGGGAGGGAGAGGAGAGGGGACAAAAGAAAAAGGGGAGGGGAGCACTTGAAATGTAGGTGGTAGGAGAGAGCGGGGAACAGAATGGAGCGGAAAGGAAAGAGTATTCAAGGAAAGAAATGAAACGAAGCAGGCAGAAGAGCCATGAAATAACGCCCAGGAACCCCTGGGAAGTTCTAAGCTGTGCCGCGGCGCTGCTGGGACCAGCTCTTCTTGCAAGTGGATTCTCGGGCTCCCAGGACAGAGAACCCGACCTGAGACCATCACAGGAGAACCAAGAGGCGAGAATTTCTCCTGTTTCTGTGGATACCGTCAGGATGCAGGATGCCGGGACACTACGTTTTGTCTCTGACCTCCTAATGAACTCTTAATACCCTGCCTATCCATGTCTTCTTGAACAGGGGTGTAGAGAAAAGCGTGTCAGTGTCCTTTGGGGCCAGGAACGGATTCTTGAGGCTAATGTTGGCCTCCTGTGATGTCTGCTTTAGGTAATGATTTGAAAACCTAACCCCTCCTGCCTCCACTGAGAGGTCGCTCTGGGTTCCACCAGACATGTGAACAGGATTGGGATGAAGAAGGGGAGAATGCGGAAGATGCTGTGCCGCCTTCCATCACGTACCTCATTGCTCAAAAGAGAGGACATACATTAGTCAGTAGCACTGATCAAAATAGGGCTGCCAAGAAAAAATAAAGTGGCTTATATATTTAATACTTCATCATAAGAAAAGGTCTGTGCTCACCAGGCATGGTGACTCACTCCTGTAATCCTAGCACTTTTGGAGGCTGAGGAGACAAGATCGCTTGAACCCAGGAGTTTGAGACCAGCCTGGGCAACATAGCAAGACCATACCTCTAAAAAAAAAAAAAAACAAAGAAAAACAAAAAAAACAAAAACAGGCATGGTAGCACATGCCCATGGTCCCAGCTACTTGAGAGGCTGAGGTGGGAGGATTGCTTGAGTCCAAGAAGTCAAGTCTGCAGTGAGCTGTGATCGAGCCACTGCACACCAGTCTCCAGTCTGGGCAACAAAGTGAGACCCTGTCTCAGAAAAAAAGTAAAAGAAGAAGAAAAAAATCAGAAGCTGTCTGTATGCAACAGGTGGTTCTCCTTTTGTGGCTCTATTCTCTGGGCTCTGCCCACGTCTCTCCCCAACCAGAAAGCAGAGTGCCTTGTCAGTTCTTGAGGGTTTTTTTTTTTCTTCCCTAGTCCTTAATCCTAGTGTAACAGCATCTCAGCTTCTAAACGTTATCGCCTTAGCAACTTGGAGTTGTACAGCAAGAAAGCCTTGCCTTGTTTCCTTTTTTGATGGTAGGTCTGAGAAACTCCATCAATAATGAATGGCAGGTTAGGCTCTGCTGCGATCCTGGCCTTGGAGGAAAGACCAGAAAACAGGCAATGACGGTCACAACCGGGCCAGCCTCTTACTGGGCACTTGGAGTTCACAGCAATGGTTTAGGGATGGATGCTCAAGCTAATGTTACAGAATTTCTGTGCAGGACCATGTGTCAGCCAAATGAATGTGCTGGGCTTGCTCCTTGATGAGATGACAGAAAGAATCTTACTGGCTGGTGCAAAGGAGAAGGGTTAGGGTACCACACAGCTAGACCTGTTGGGATTAGGAAGGGGCAGCCCAGAGCCCACTGAGGAAACTAGTAGTAGAAAGACCAGTGAGAGGAGAAACACTGTCTTCATTTCCCCCAGGGCTATGGTACGGCAGAAGGTGATGGAGCTAGGAGTTTGACCTTGAACCTGAACTGTTGTGCTCTTTTCTGGGATGTGTGGGTGGGGGTGTTGCAGGGTGCAAGGAAAGGAACATAGTGGCTTATTGCCCCAGAAGACCATACTTATGATCATGACTTGTCTGGGCTGGGTGTGGAAGTGGTACCCCCTACATCCTCCCTCCAGTTCCCCAGAAAGCCTTGCTCCATCCCCTAGGGGGTCCACGTCGGGCCATGCTCATCCCCCACTGGACTCACCATCACACTTGAGTCCTTGCCGTGCCAGTCCCCACAGCAGGGTCCCACAGTGTTCACAGAAGGTCGGGCTCTTGTAATTGTAGACTTTAAATCTGTGTGGCATGTCAATTTTGAATCTCTCCTTGTGGAACTGAAAGAAAGGCAGAAGGTGAAATCTGTGTATTCCTGGGGCCCCGACTTTGGATGTTCTTGCAGATACCTTAGCATAACTAACAGAGATCATAATGAAAACACTGGCATTGTGTGCATTTTAAACCATCATTGTCACTTGTCAAGCCCTACAGTCATGCCTGAAGAAGGCAGGCAGCCTCAGCAACTGTACGTGACGGGGCATGCTTGCCTTCTGCATGTAGCAAGAACCTTGCAGACAGCTGAAATCTGAGGCATTCACACAGACAGGCTAAAAGCTCAGGAAGACTGCATGAGGGTTATTTTAAAAAGTGCTAAGGAAACAGTGCTCCCATTTAAATAGATGAAGATTCCCTTCCTGTTTTACTATAAATATTTCCTTTTCTCTTTCAGTCCAGAACTAGTGCTTTTAACCTTTGGAAGATGTAAAAAAAAAAAAAAAAAATGCCTTCTTTAAAGGAAACATTTCTATGGGTTTATCAGTATTACTGCCTAATGTGAGAAGCATTTTCACACCTATTATTCATGAACTGAGGTGGCAAGAGGAGGGAGCAGTTCCTGCCAGGTGCGGTTAACAAATATGTCACACGCATCATCTATTACATAGGTGATATCTCACGTAATCCTCAGAATACCCCTTTTGAAGTCGCTTCTATTAGTATCCTCCTTTGACAGACGAGGAAATGAAGCACAGAGAAGGTAAGAAACTTGCCCAGGACACGCAGCTCTAGAGCTGGGATATCTATAAGCTTGGCAGTCAGAATCAGAGCCCAGCCATTCTCTTTTCTGTCTCAAAATAAATGTGAAGGCTTATCGGGGTAGGGAGAGGGGAGTGGGAGAGGGATGCTAGTGATCGACATGGAATTTTTTTAAAAAACAGTTTTCCAGAGTTTAAATCAAACTTATTGCAGGAACAACAAAACACTTGGATAGTTGGATTCCTGGTAAGAATGTGAATATTCTTGTGCAGGATAAAATGCTTTATTTTCTAAAGGTTTATAATCTCTGCAGAAGTTTCTAATTCAACAGTTCCTTTGGGAAGGTGCATAGCAAAGATGCCTTATTCATCAGCACAGCAATAGATCTAACGTTCCCGCCAGGGGTACTGGTCAGCGTTGGTTCTTTAGAAAGCCTGTGTAGAATCGATTAAAAATTGCTCAGCACTTACTACAGCCATTTTCAACCAAGAAAAAAATAATTTTCGGGACTCACTTATATTCCACAGTTTAAATATGGACAATTAATAGGTCAAGGTCCAGGCTGGAAGGGGACCACTTCGAATCTTGAATGCAGGGGCAAACAGCTCAAGACACCATGGCTGATGAAGACGCTATGTACACGCTTTCCAGTATGAAAACCAATGAGCTACATGGGGCTGGCGAACACTTGAAAGGTGGTGAGTTAGAGTTGAGATGTGCTGGACGTGTAAAATAATACATCCTGGAGTTTGAAGACTTTTGTATAAAATTACTTAAGATATCTGAATTTTTCAAATGTCGATTTTTTGTTGAAATGATATTTGAACAGATTGGATTAAATAAAATGTATTATTAAAATTAATTTCACCCATTGCTTTTTCCTTTATTTAATGTGGGCTACTTGGAAATGTAAAATTACACATGTAGCCCTCATTCTATTTATTTCTATCGGACAATACTGCTCCAGGGGTAGAGGAACAAAAGAATCCCAAAGATGATGTCCCCTTGAGTGAACAAGAAATCAAAATATCCTGGGAGAAGATAATATCACAGACATTTATTTATGTAGCTGACAGTTTCTCAAGACTTTGTACCAGGAACTTTGTTAGTCATTGAGGTTAACAGTGATTCAGAGATTTGCGTTTTTTTCTAGAAAAGCTGAAGGCATCAAGTAAAGGAAGAAGTCTGGGAGGTGAAAATTTGATCTAAGCAAGCAAAAACATGGTCTGAGAGATTGTGATCTTAATTTTAGTACCAGCTCTGCCACGTACAGGTGATCAAACATGAACAAACTACTTTAACCTCTTTGAGTCTTAGCAGAATCACCGGTTAGCACAAGTTTATCTCCTTCTGCTTCTAAATGTTAGGAGAAATTCTACTCTGGAAAAACCCAGCCACTTCGCCTTCTCTGAACCTGCCCCTTTGTTGGAGAAAATCATACTCCTGAGCAGGCTGACTCCGTCAAATTCAAATGGACTTTCAGCTCTGCTCCACAGTCTGACTGCTTTTCACGAGTCACCTTGCTTTCTCTAAGATAATTATCTCATAGATCTTCCTTTTTCCTCGAAGGCACTTGTTGCTTTCTCTTTTCCTTCCTCCAGCCATCAAACTCCATGGGGGACACATGCAGTCTAAGGGAAGCGCCTTTGTGTGCCCATCACCAAAGCTCCACACCCATCCCCATCAGCAACTGTCTTGCCCTACTCCCTTCCGGTTAAACTGTGGAAGCTCCAGGGACCAGTCTCCACCAGAGCTCAGGCCCTCTTCGCTTCCTGCCAACAGACTTGACTGTTTTGTTTATCTGTCTCTCCAGCTTTATCCATCTCTCCCTGGCCACGGGAGCACTTGCCATCCTTGGGGTCTCATTTCCCAGCCACTGTTCTCTGTCCATCATCTCCTTCATGGTTCACCTTCTTCATAATATCAACTTACAGGTTGTTTTCATGTCATCACCTCAGTCACCCTTCTGCAGGTCAATCAGACTAATGCCTCCAAGATGCCCCTGACATTTCTCTGATTTAAGCCTGTGAAGATCTGCACGTGGGCCTCAATTTCAACACCTCAACTGCACAGAACACAACCCACCTCTTCTTCTTCTGGTTTCTGTAACTTCATAGACTCTGGGTGTAGGAGGAGCGGTCTCTGAGCCCAGTTTCTCAATGTCTATCTCTGTCCTTTATCTTCTACCTAACATCTCATTTTAGATTCCTTTGTAGTCAGTCCTGAACTTTCTCTATTTCCTCACTAGGCAATCTCTTCAGCAACTTTAAAATCTACCTATATGATGGTCACTGTCAAATTTATAGGGTTGGGCCCTTGTCCCAGAGGAATTCCAAGCTCATGTGAAATTGTCTATTTGATGCTTCAACTTGGATGTCCACCTCTCCGACTCAACATGTCCAAACTGGAAAAATTCATCTCTCCTTCCAGTCTTCTTCACTCCGTCGTGGCTCTGTTATCTACCACACTGCTCGGCCTCGGGCAGAAGCCAGAACCTGCGGCATCATCCTTATATCCACCTCTTTCATCTAATCTTTTGGCAAATCCAGTCATTTCTAACATCAAAATCACCTGAGAACCTGCCCCTTTGCTCCACCTCTGCTGACGTCTCACTGGTATAAACCACCAACCTCCCCGCTTGGAGGATTCCTTCCATCTCCTCTGGTTTCACTTTCACATCTCAACGCACTATTTCTACTACAGCATCCCAAAGTGGGCTTTCTACTACAAGTTGCACAAAATACAATCATTTTTCCAGGCTCCAAAGAAACCCCGCATGACCCAGGCCTTGGTGCCTTCCCCAGTGTGGGCTTCCAGTCTGCGCAGCCCTTGCAGCTGTCACCACACTGGTCCCATTTCAGTTCCTGGAACACATTGGACTCTCCCTCAGCAGGGTCTTCCAGCCTGTAAGGAGCTTCCTTCCTCCTGCTCTTCACCTAACCAGCTCTGTCACTCTTCAGCTGTCAGTTTCAATGTTCCCTCCGTTGGGGAGATTCCCGGACCACAGAGTCTCAGTAGGCCACATGCTTACTCTCCACCTTGCACCTTGTTCACTATCTTTGTAGCACTTAATATAAATCGAAGCCATACATAGCTGTTTATTATCTGTTTCTCCAACTTCGCAGGACCACGTCTGTTTTGTGTTATGCTGTCATTGGAAGAATGCGGTATCTTCCATGAATCAGATACCCAGTGAGGATTTGTGGAATGAAAAAGGAAACGGTGGGAGAAGGAAGTCAAAAGATTTCATAATGAGTGACAGAGTGGAGTAATAGACATTGGAGACTACAGATGGCAGGATGGGAGGGAGGGAGGATTGAAAATTACCTATTGGGTGTAATATTCACTCTTCGGATGGTGGGTTCACTAGAAGCCCAGACTTCCCCACCAGGTAATATAGGCATAGAAGAAATCTGTACTTGTAGGCCAGGTGTGGTGGCTCATGCCTATAATCCCAGCACTTTGGAAGGCCAAGACAGGTGAATCACCTGAGGTCAGGAGTTTGAGACCAGCCTGGCCAACATGGTGAAACCGCATCTCTACTAAAAATACGAAAATTAGCCAGGCGTGGTGGCATATGCCCGTAATCCCAGCTACTCAGGAGGCTGAGGCAGGAGAATCTCTTGATCCTGGAAGGTGGAAGTTGCAGTGAACCAAGATGACACCACTGCACTCCAGCCTGGGTAAACAGAGTAAGATTCCATCTCAAAAAAAAAAAAAAAAAAAAAAAAATTGAAAAAAGAAATCTGCACTTGTACCTCCTAAATACATATAAATTTTTAAAAATTTAAAATTCATAATGATACACTGCCCATGTGCTAGCCCAGTTTCCCCCCTCCATTAGGTAAAATGTAATTTGTCTTCCGATTATACCTCAACGTTTACTCTAAAAGAAATATTTGCTTCTCAACATAAAATTATGCCTCTGTTATTATCTCTAACCTTGTAAATGCCATGTTGCTGTATCTTATCATCATTTGCCTTTATTTACTCTTTTACTGTCACTTCTAGCTGGGGGTGCCACAAGGATTATTCTCATATAATTAATCTAAACTATGCTTTCTGGCCACTTTCTATGCCATTTTTCTGGAAAAGTAGAGCAATGAAAATTCTTCCTGTATATAATTTGTGTATATTTAGGAGGTACAAGTGCAGATTTCTTTTTTTTTTTTCTTTTCTTTTTGAGATGGAGTCTCACTCTGTTGCCCAGACTGGAGTGCGGTGGCATGGTCCTGGTTCACTGCAACCTCCGCCTCCCGAATTCAAGAGATTCTCCTGCCTCAACCTCCTGAGTAGCTGGGATTACAGGCTTATGCCACCAGGCCTGGCTAATTTCTAATTCATCCTCTGGTTTGGGTAATTCAGTAAGAATCATTATTGAAGAGGAAAGAGTTTTGGGGAGATGGATGTTCACTGATAAATGGGAGGATGCAAGTTCTGGCATTATTCTGAAGAATTCGTGGGCTGTAACATTTAACGTTCTGATAAAAATCACTGCACGTCAAAGAGGAGTGTAAATACTCACCATGGTTTCTCGGCTATTGATAGCTGATCCTGTGCACTTTGCTATAACTTTATCAATACACTTCTTGTGAATTGCTGCATTGCATTCTGAAAAGAAGAAAAAAATCACAGCTTAAGATTTTCATAGCCTAAGGAATAACTAAATAAAAAGAATGATGGTAATGCAACCAAAACCCTCTTACTTACGTCGGCACTGGTAGCCCTGTTTGTTCAGGCCCCTGTAATAAAGCACACGCTGATTTATTTCAATGTTGGCATCAACATCAGCACCAACAGCATTTAAGAGATGGATGAGATCTCATAACCCCCTAAGATCACAGAGCAGTTTCTGATCAGCAGCCCTGTTGTATCATTTGCCAAGAGTATTAACAGAGTGTTTTTCATTTGAAGCTGCGTTTTAAAAAGTTTGATAATTAAATAAATGAGAACTGGCTGATTTATCATCCTTGTATTTTCCAAACATATAGAGATTAAAATGCATGAATGAAAATGCATGCATCACAGACTCTTCGTAGCACGTTTCCCTGTGCTAGATTTAAAAATTCATGGCCTCGCTGAGCTCACTACAGACGAACAAAGACATCTGTAACATTTTATTTCCTCTTTCTGAGCATCTGAGAATATTTGCAACCAACAAAGTCTCACATGCAGGACCGATTCCTGAGTGACATCCATGATTAGAGAGAAAGGAGGTTCAAGTGATTAGACGAAAGCAGGCTGATGAAAACCCGCCAAGTCGATCTGGCATGTGGATACCCTGGTTACACAGGAGCTGTGCTTTAACAGTTTCTGCAGTAGCCTAAAGGGAAGAGTATCCCTTAATAGGCTAGGATGCTGAGAGCCAGAAACAGGAGTTATTTCAAGTCTCCACTCTGTCATAGCCTTTGCTATGTGGTTACTGAGGTTTAAACTGATCTGTTTGATGGCTATTAAGATACCCAAGAGCCTCATAAGCATTTAAACCATTAGCTACAATGGCAGAGTGCTGCCTGCTGGAAAAAGTAGCACCAGCAGGGTTGGGCCATTAGGTGGGGGAAGTTTTGACTATAAAACTGGAAAACTGTTTGTAATAAAGATACCTTTCACTTCTGTTTCTTCCCACTTACCCCCAATAGCCCCCCCATTGAGGCAGAAACTAAAATCCCATGGGCATTTTTCCTGACTAGACCTGGCTTCCTCATGCACCTCTTTTATTGGATCACACCATTTGAACCTTCTCAGTTCAGGCAAGGTCCCTGACAACGCTGAGGTAGCATTTACTCCAGCACACCCCCCACAGTGGAGCATGCCAGCGTAGAGGATTAAGAAGACGCAACAAAATGCATAACCCGAAGCTTGGAGGGAGATGCCAAGTTACTGTACCAGACAAACTCGTGGCAGACAGAGCAAAATGTGGGCTGTGGGAAGAAGGTGGCAGTGAACTCGTGGCACTTGACGTGGTGGACCTTTGCCTGCTTGATGGCACCCCGGCGCTGATGCAAAGCAAAGAAGCCTTCCGTCTCAAATTCATTCATGTCCTTTGTGTCTACAGGAAGAGAGAGGGGAAGAAAGTGAAGTTCTGCAAAAGGACGACTCCTATTCTAAGCTGGGTCAGGAGGGGAGGGAGATGGGCAAGGGATGGAGGAGGACCAGCTCTGAGTACCTGCTGTAACATTCCAGGTACTCATTATGGTGGGTACCACACTAAGCATCTTTCCTCAAATTCTACAACACAGATTCATCATAGGGCATATTGTTAGAGGGTGAAAACAATGTTGGATTGCTGGCTCAATCCTTCGCTCCTCTTTGACTGGGCTGAGCGATATATCCTCTTCAAGTTTCAAAACCAGAGATTAGAACTTTGAAGGGATCTATCAACCTCTCTTTGTCACCATCAATGATGACTCAGTCAGAAAAGGCAGGAAGTGGCAAAGGCTTTCCTGTCTGTAATTCTAGAGAATCACATGGTTACTGACAGCCTCTTGGGAACAGCATTTCAGAGGTGCCAGGATGCTTTATAGCAGGTTGTTGGAGACATGCTGGAGTAGACTAGGGGGAGCTGACCAGGATTTTGTGTGAGGAGAAAGGAACTTTGGGACATTGTGTCCTGGTTCCTGATGTCCACAGTGATCAGACACACCAGCTGCCAACCATATTTACCAATGTGAAAAAGGCCAGAAAATTAATAGCTCACTGCATTTTTTTGGTGTCTAGGTAATCCTGTGCATTACCTAGTCATCAGCATCAAACCATCAGATTCAATCTATTCATTTTACTCTGGGCTCATAAATATTGGTGAAAGTGCTTTGGATAGTCACTGTTTACAGTGCCCTATACCTGAATGACATCTTTCCAAAGGGTTGAAAAACTAAGATAGTCAAATTATGAGAATGCTCAGGATGCCCTTGCTGAAGCCCAGGTCCTCATGAAACACCAAATTGTAAGGCAGTCATGGTTAAACAGCACAGTGGACACAGCAGGTGAGAGAGAATAACACAAGGAACAGTAAAGAAATAAAAATATCCACTGCTGTAACAAAAATGATACACAAATAAATATGTGAATAAATAAATAAGGATAATGAATTTAAATCCCAGAGTTATAATTTTGTAATAGCTTGAAGACTCTTGGATTACTTCTTCTATTTTGTTACAAATACAAAACATTGAGGTTTCATTTAAAAAGCAGGTTCATCATATTTCACAATGAGTTAATAATATTCAAACTAAATTTCTTCTATTGTGGCTAAGCAGTGGCAGTAGCCTGACAATGCGTTTGGGGCAAATTATCTTCCAAGATACCTTATTGTCCAATCCCTAACAGTGGCTAGATTAGAAACACTCTAGGTAGACAAAGGAGGAGCTGTGTGGGTAGAAACCTCCCCCAGGAATCCAGCCACATCCCAGGACACATTGTAGGACTGAAGTCTTTTCTGTAGTGTCCGCAGATTTGTTTTATGGCAACCCCAACTTCCAGACAAAAAGCATTTCCAGTAACCCTCTAACAGTTCCACAGATGGGACATAATACTTTGCCTAATACTTTAAGAGTAGGTAATTTTGGTCTTTTTACCTGGAACTAGGCTGGAAATAATAGATTTGGCTTGGTAAATGAGGGGTTAAATTAAGGATCACTGAGTTAATCACCTTCTTCCACAAGTTCTGGTCTAAATGTCCAAATCTATTTACAACTTGTGACTAGTATAGTAGGTCATTTGTTTATAACATGTGACTTGTTTCTATTTTGGTCCAGATGAAATAAAATAAAATAAAAATAAGTATAAATACACTTTTAAATGCAGGGAATGAAAGTGAATTATTATGGGGACCCTATACAGGTTTTTACTGTAAAAATCATATATGTTTATATGTATATTAAACATATTTTATACATATATCTATACATATATGTTTATATACATATATGTCTACATATAGTTTATATTTTTATAAACTATAAATATATAGTTATATACACAATTTCTACATTAGACTATAGTACTATAATTTTTTTAAAATATCAGGAATTTCTAGAAATGAATTAATACCCTGTTATTTTCTGTGATTTTCATTATTCTCTATTTCAATCATTACAAAAGAATAAATGTAAAAACATAGAATTCTTTAATTTTTTTTGTATTGACTATATTTATTTCTCTATTTACTGGTTTGAATGAGCTCATTGGTTTTTGCAATTTTTTTTCTTTTATACTAATGGATTCTAATCTATTTATGTGGTCTAACCTATCACTTGTTTGTAGTCAATCAAATTACAAGTTTCCTGAGCAGCTGTGAGTAAACTGCCTTGCTGAGTGTGCTGAAGAAACACATTATTCCTCACCCTTGCATGGCTAACAGTCAAGTCAGGGAGACGTGGCACAGGCACAGAACAGCCAACCTTAAGAGGCAATATATGATGGTGTGGAATAGGCTCCGAGATATGTGTACCCATATTTTTTAGGAGGTAGGAAAAGAAATGGCAAAAGAGACCAAGAAGAGGCAGCTGAAAAATTAAGAGGAAAACCTGGACAATATCACATCAGGCAAGCTGAAAAGAAATGAAGTTTTCAGCATTGTATGATAGAGAGATATCAAGGAAATTGAAGGCTAAGAAGCAGGAACCACTTGTGAGAACTCATAATCTTGGAGACCCAGAGTCTTAGGGTCTAAGAATAGAAGTAGAAGGGAAGAAAAAGAAACTGATAAATATAAACTACTTTTTAAAGGAATGTGTTAGGGAAAGAAAAAAAAACTCAAGGAGGTAAAAAGGTGAAAAAAAAGAAGAGATGATGTTCAAGATTGGGGAAGATGCATAATGCAGTATGTCTTGGGAATAAGGAAGAAACTGCAGAGAGAAGGAAGAGTTGAGGATGTCAGAGGTAAAGTTTATTGATAGAGCAGGACTGCTGGGATGAGAGGTGTGCAACCAAGAAAGGGAGCAGCTGTCTCTGAGGCAGAGGAGCAGGAGGAGAAGGCGGGAGGAAGCAACTGCATCCTAAAGTGTAGAGACAAACAGAAGACAGGGTCTCGGCTGGGCGTGGTAGCTTACAACTGTAATCCCAGCACTTTGGGAGGCCGAGGCAGGCAGATCACCTGAAGTCGGGAGTTTGAGACCAGCCTGACCAATATGGTGAAACCCCGTCTCTACTAAAAAAAATACAAAATTAGCTGGGCATGGTGGAACATGCTTGTAATCCCAGATACTCAGGAGGCTGAGGCAGGAGAATCGCTTGAACTCGGGAGGCGGAGGTTGCGGCGAGCCAACATAGCACCATTGCACTCCAGCCTGGGCGACATGAGCGAAACTCTGTCTCAAGAAAAAAAAAATACATAAAAAAATTAAATAAAAAGAAGATGGGGTCTCTACCACTTATATTGGAGGCAAGGTCAACCTCCCAGAATCAGAGGAGATTGAGGCATCCCCAGAAACCAAGGAGGATGGGAATGGTAGGAATAGCCATTGTGTGGGAATCAAAAAGAAATGAAGGAGATTTCTAAGTGCCAAGGTGAGTCCAGCTGAACAGTTCAGCAGGCATTCATTGTGTACTTCCTGCATGCCTCACCAGAAACTTGGCACCACAGTTAAAGGAATTAATGAGACGTGTTTTGACAGTGGCTGTTCTGCAAGGAGTTAAGAGTCCAGAGGGAAAGAAAATCGATGTGTCAGAACAGAGGTATTCACAGGATGCTGTGGGACCACGGAAATGAGGAAACTATACCAGCTAAGGCAGGTGGAGGTAGGTGAAGGAGAGAAAGAGGGAAGTTGGAAAAGAAACGTCCTGGCAGAAATGTTTCTGTGCTGAATTCTGGACAGGTAACTCCTACTAATGTGTGGGAGAAGGTATGGTGGGGAAAAGCCAAAGGTGCTCTCTCTGGGTGGAAGGGAACAAGCAAAGCTACAGAGCTAAGGTTCCTCAGGGTGTGGGTGGGGGTCCAGCACTAGCTGGGCATTGCCAGAGTGCAGAGGGTGAAGCAGAAACGATCAGCAGTCACTTCCAGAAGATGTGTAGGTGTCAGATCAGTTTGAACACTTTCCTGCAGACAATTTGCAGATGCTGGAACACTGCAGTAGGGGCAGAGGCTTGATATGGTCAGATTTGAGCTTGGCATCGTTACTTCTAGGACCACCATAGGAGAATGGATGGGATATGGCAGGAGGTAGTAATGATGTAATTAGATGATGAAATGGAAAAAATATTGACTAGACAACACGAACACAAATGATTGACTGATGCATTCATGTGGAAGTTGAAAGAAAAGGAGGCTATAAAAATTACTTCCAGGTTTTGTGGAGTGAGTTATTATATAATTAAGTACGATAGTAAGTTACAAAAGAAATAGGTTACTCGTGAATGTGGCAAATGTAATTTTGGATACTTAGTTTAATTTGACCCCTTAAAATGTGTAAGTACAGGAAATCTGGTCAGAGAGGTCTGCTAAGAAGCCAAACATAGAGTCTGAACCATAGGAATGTCATCTAATACCATCTGTTTGTAACACACTTAGCTGTATGACTTTTTCTAGCAAAGCCGGGGAGAATGAGAGGGGAGAATGCAAGGTTTGGAGATCAGACTATCCATGGCAAAGGGGAACTAATGAGAGCAGAGTGCTGACAAAGGCTTATCATGGGAGCCAGGCTAGGTAGAGTTAATGCCAGAAAGTGGGCTAATAAATAGGGTAAAAGAGAAACTGGACTAAAGGCTAGTACTTATTGTCTGAGAATAAGGGCAGAATTGCCAGGGGAGGAAGATGAGCTCTGAAAAAGCAAGTTCTGAGTGTGAGTCCCTGGAGGTGGAGAATTCTGAGTGATGATATGTGGGTTGAAGGTTGGTTACTGAATGGATAGAGAAGCACAGGAAGGTGTGAAATAGAAAGTTGGCAGGGGGGCATGAGATGACATTGGGGAATTCTGAAGTTACAAGAGTAATAATAGGAGAACAGAGGAAGAAGAGAAAAAATGATTCCTGCTCAAAAACCCAACAGAAGGGGATTTCAAAGAGAAAGAACAAAGTAGTCTGTTATGGAGAGCTGAGCCATTTACTTCCTGGTGAGGTAGAGGAGGTGAGGCTTCCATGGAAGAGAAACATGGGAGACATGGTATTATCTCAAGTGTTATCCAAATTTGAATTCCTTATCCCCCAATCATTTTCCTCCTCTTTCCATATCTCCCACTTCTGTGACTCCTACCATTTTCCCAGTCTAGCTATTTTAAGAGATATTCTCAACATTTTTTCCCTTCATTCAACTTACATTTTTAAGGATTAATTATTATTATTATTATTTGGAGACAGGGTCTTGTTCTGTTGCCCAGGCTAGAGTGCAGTGGCACTATCTTGGCTCACTTTATCTTTGAAGTCATGGGCTCAAGTGATCCTCCTGCCTCAGCCTCTCAAGTAGGTGGGACTACAGGCATGTGCCACCATACCCAGGTAATTTTTAAATTTTCTTGTAGAGATGGGGTCACTCTACATTGCCCAGGCTGGTCTCAAACTCCTGGATTCAAGTGATCCTCCTGCCTTGGCCCCCAAAGTGCTGGGATTATAGGCATTAGCCATTGCTCCCAGCCTAATTTTTAAAGAATTATAAAGCATTTCAACTATGTACACTTAACAGGCATTCTGTAGATATTTCATCTACTCTACCATGAAATCTCTCTGCAACAGTATTTTCTTTTAGATTGTTCCTTTTATTTTATTCCTGTAGCTACACCCTTAGAACAGATTTTTATCACCTCTCCATAACATAAGTGAAATTTTGTAGACCAATACTGTGTAATTCCTTGAGTAAGAGAAAGTATATTCTTCCCATTAGTTCAAAGCATGACCCAAGACTATGCACTCCTCTTGCCCTCCAACATCTGTCTCTGACTCTTCATTCTGGTTTCAGCAGGAGCCTGCTGGTCTACCTAGGCTGTTCTCCCCACAGCCCTCACACAAGGCATATTCTTGCTCAAGCCTTCACTTTTTCCTCCTTGTAAGGCCATCCCTCTTCTTTAGAAAACTCAACTCTTGCTAACCTTTAATGCCCACACTGTGGAACTTACTGAAATGAAAGCAACACACACTGATCTCTTGGTTAATCAGTATTTGTGTGGTTTAGGTTATAATTTTATCTAATTGTCTAATCTGTACCACCTCTGGGTATATGTTCCCTGAGGAGAAGAACACGTTTTGCTTTTCTGAATCCTTCAGAAGACGATTTCTTATACTAATAATGAGCTTTCTTAAAAGAATGCTCTCCTCCTTGTCATCAACAAGGAATTTTCTAGTTAGGTTATTCCATAACTTTGGTTTTTAAAATTAGATTTTTTTGACACATAAAAATTTAGAGATGGAGTGTCAATTTGGATCTAGATATAAAAAGTTTTAAATATTACAAAGATTTATTCTTTTTTTTTTTTTGAGATGGTGTCTCACTCTGTCTCCCAGGCTGGAGTGCAGTGGTGCAATCTTGGCTCACTGCAAGCTCCGCCTCCCGGGTTCATGCCATTCTCCTGCCTCAGCCTCCCGAGTAGCTGGGACTACAGGCACACACTGCCATACCCGGCTAATTTTTTGTATTTTTAGTAGAGACGGGGTTCCACCATGTTAGCCAGGATGGTCTCGGTCTCCTGACCTCGGATCCACCTGCCTCGGCCTCCCAAAGTGCTGGGATTACAGGCGTGAGCCACCGTGCCCGGCCAAAGCTTTATTCTTAAAACATTTCCTAGGCTTATGTCATTATTGTTTACGGAATATCATTGTTTTTGCCCGATTGAATTTGCTCTCTCATTCTAATAAAATATTTAAGTTCCACAGGAATAGAAGGACCATCCATGGAATTGTTTTTCAAAGCAGGGATCTTAAAATCATTTACCAAAAATACTTGCATTCTGATGAAGGACACTTTTTCTCCTTTCTTTCTTTCTTTCCTTCCTTCCTTTCTTCCTTCCTTCTTTCTTTCTTTTGAAGGACCCTTTTTCTCCTTCCTTCCTTCCTTCCCTCCCTCCCTCCTCCTTCCTTCCTTCCTTTTCTTTCTTTCTTTTTCTTTCTTTTCTTCTTTCTTTCTTTCTCCTTCCCTTCCCCTTCCTTCCTTCCTTCCTCTCTCTCACCCTCTCTCTCTCTCCCTTCCTTCCTTCCTTCCCTCCCTTCCTTCCTTTCCTTTCCTTTCTTTCCTTTCTTTCTTTCACTGTATCATCCACACTGCAGTGCACTGGTGAAATCACTGCTCACTGCAACCTCAATAACCTGGGCTTAAGCGATCCTCCCACCTCAGCCTCACAAGTAGCTGGGACTACAGGCACGCACCACCAACTCTGGCTAATTTTTGTATTTTTGGTAGAGAATGGGTTTTGCCATGTTGCCTAGCCTGGTCTGGAACTCCTGAGCTCAAGTGATCTGCCCACCTCGGCCTCCCAAAGTACTGGAATTACAGGCATGAGCCACCATGCCCAGACAAGACCCTTTTTCAATTTACATTGGGTCATGATTTAAACTAATGGGAGGAATGTATTTCTCTTATTCAAGGAATTAAACATCATTGATACTATTATTTAGGTCAGCACTTTCACATTTTATGCAAATCTGGTTATTCGGATATCCTGCAATCACTCTATTTCAGCCAACTCAAAAGTTGTACTATGTGTACTGTATATCTACACCTTCCAAGAGGAAAAATAAATAAAATTTCAGAGTACATTTTTCCCATCTCAGTAATTCTTTCTTTCTTTTAAAAAAATTTTATTATGGAAAATTTCAAATATACCTAAAAGTTGAGCAAATACTATAATCAATTTTCATATATCAATCATTCAGTTTCAGCAATTATTAACTGATGGCCACTCTCTTTCAATACACCCTGTCCATCCTACACCCCATACCATTGGATTATTTTGAAGCAAAACTATGGTATCATATTATTTTATCTAAAATATTTCAGCTATTCACTGGTTTTTCTTCAGATCGAATAAATCTTTCGCCTTTTACTAAAATATTTCAGCATATATATGTAAAAGATCAGTGTGCCTTTTAAAGAAACATAACCGCAATATTATTATCACACCTAAAAGATGAATTCACCATGCCTCAATATCATCAAATATCTAGTGAGTGTTCAAGTTTTCTATGATTATTTCATAATATTGTTTTCTCTGATGTATTTGTTTGAATTTAGACACGGAGGAATTATATATGGTAAGCCGAAACTCAGAAAGCACCATAAATGTATAAAGTTAAACTTGCTTCTTCTTGGTAGTAAAATTAATTTAGGAAAAAATGAAGTGAATTTACCATCAGTAAGTTTACATGTCCATGCTGTGACTTAGGATTTTCTAAGTAGGGGGATTTGATTCACATACACAGCCCTGACAGCCTGTCTCAGCACATCGTACCGGGAAATTTCACTTCTGTGGCCAAAGTCCACATGTAACATGGAATCAAAACCCTTTAGCAATGTGTTTTCTCACCTTTTCTTGTTCCTAAAAGGACTTGAGGTGACTAACTTCAAGTGTTAGCATTTTGTTACTAATTTTATGGAATATATTGATTGACTTCTTACTTATTTTGTATTCTACTGATAATATGGTAGCTTCTTAGAGCACATCATTTAACCATAGACAATGTGTACACACATAACCACACATCAACAGTCTTTTGTATTTAGACTGAATTCCCAAACTAAACTAAAGACAGAGTATAAGAGCTTTGGGCATATGGATTCACATCACTTAAAACAAGTGCTATAAATGTTTTATATTTCTACGTTTTTCCGGCCCAGATAGTGTCTTTTAAAGTCATGCCTGAGCACCTCTGAGAATTTTAAAACAATTTTGTGCCTCTCTTTTCTCCTGATTCTCTTCTACAATAATTGCAAAGGTAAAATAAGCTGCATTTGAGGAGAAGGCCATGCCCTCCTCACCCCCAAACAGGAAGAAGAAATGTCACTTGCCACTCATTTCCAGAAAGTATCTTGCATTCATTAGCATTCGGCCTTGAGGTTTCAGCTCTAACTGGTTGGGAGAAGGAGAGAAACATCAGTCAGAATGTGAAACAAGCCCTGAGTTCAATGACATCACTGGCTACTGACGATGGCAGGAGATTTCCACCACAGAATACAATCATTGTTACTCTCCACTGTACTCAAACTCATTGTCATCAGACGACTGTAGCAACCGTGACAATCGCCTTTCTTTTCTTAAAACATCCCAGCAATTCATTAATTTTATTTGGAGAGAAAAACTTACATAAGGAAGAAATAAAATCCTAAAACAGATTCTATTTGGTTTTCTTGCCCTGTAATGCTGCGTATCTGAAGGACTGTCACAGGGCAGACCCAGATCTTCATCATGACAAAAGAATCACAGGCACTGGGACTGGCTTCCTTGGGGAAAAAGCTCTTCTTTTGGAGGGAAAGATAAATCCTGCCTCTTTGAGGCCGCCTCCAGGCCCCTGTCTTCTTTTCTACCTGGGATGCATGTCTAGGTTAATCAGGGCATTCAATGGGGATGGCTTTTCTCTTTCACAAAGAGAGATTGTATTTTTAGGAAAGTCTTGGATGGTCCACTAAAGAAAATTCTAATTACACTGATCTGGGAAGGAATTTATAAATGTATATAAATACATACTTCAGTACTGTATTATTATGTAGAAGAGGGCGGAACAAAGTGTCATTTTAAGGGATGATGTAGGATCTCCCATAAAGTGACATAAGGAGAAGAAAGGACAAATCCAAGTTCAAGACAAGCTGAGCGCTGTTGTTAATCTATTAAACCATCCCACTATGCCATTAACAGACCAAAAAGAATAAGAAAGAAGATGACTTGAAGGTCATTATTGGTCATTATGTCCATGGGTTATCCACGTGAGCCGGAGTAACTAAGAAATAGCAAGTAATGTCCTGTGGAACTCAGGATTGAATCTGAATCGTGGCTAAATAATTTTCTGGTTATGTGACCTTGTGCAAGTCACTAAGTCTTGGGAAATCTCTGAAAAACAGACATAATAGCAATGCCTATGTCACAGCATTACTGCCATGAGAATTTTATGATAAAATAAGCTTGCATTGCTGCAACAACTATAAATTTTCATATGAGTTTCAACAGATTAATGAAAAGAAAAGTGCTTTTGACATGGCATGTATGCACCATTGTTCTCTGGCTTGTGAATAAGGAGTAAAGATGGAGGCAAAAATGGAGATGGAAGAGCTATGGTAAGGGGCCTGCTTCCAAATGGAATAATGAAAATTGGCACCAGGTGACCACAAGGTTGGCAGTATTCAGTACTTAGTAGTGATGGAAGAAATTAAACCAATTAGCTACTGGAAAAACAGCACCCATAGAAAGCCACATTCCAGCACATTTTGGGGAGTGAATGGGAGACAACCATGAAAACAGTCACAACCTTGGGAAAACAAAAGGTGTCTCTCAATACGGCGTTGAGAAACATGAAAGGCAAATTTGAGAGAATCATTTTCTTTAGAGAAATTAGTGTTGGAAAAGCAGATTCCAATAGAAGCAAGGGAAAATATAAGTCCCAACAACCTGTTGGCTCTTAAAATAAAAGTAAATTAAGAAATAACCTTGGCAAAAAAATAAAAAAGAAAACAAAAAAACCCACCAAAGCTTAAAAGTGCAAAAAATGTGCTAGTTGGTTAAATGAGCATCTGAATGCCACCATGTGCTTATGTCTAAATAATCCTAGAATGCAAAGAAAAGTCTGTTAAGGATGAAATCAGCAAAATCCTAGGCAAGAAATCATATGCAACTTGAAGAGATACAAATAGAACAGCAACCTGCCTATCAGTGAAGACTACTTAACAAAAAGATACTCACCCTCCGACTTATCCTTTCATTAATTGAGAAGGAAACATGAATAGAATCGTATTTTTAAAATTGGGGAATTGACGACTCTTTAAAAAAAAAATTAGGTAGACCAAATAAACTGGTCTTCCTCAGTTTCTCCCATTCCTGCTTCTACCTAATAAAATAATTAGGCTCACTGCAACCTCCGCTTCCCAGGTTCAAGTGATTCTCCTGCCTCAGCCTCCCAAGTAGCTGGGATTACAGGCACCTGCCACCACGCCTGGCTAATTTTTGTATTTTTAGTAGAGACAGGGTATCGCCATGTTGGCCAGGCTGGTCTTGAACTCCTGACCTCAGGTGAACTGCTCACCTTGGCCTCCCAAAGTGCTGGGATTACAGGCATGAGCCACCACACCCGGCCCCAGGAACCCTTTTCCCAAGCCAACACACAAGTGCTGAGTAGATACTGCCCAACTAAATTACCTGGACATATCTAAGCATGGGCCTGAGCACCTTTTAAAAAAAATCTTGGCATATATTTGTCTCTAAAGATTACTTTAGTGATACGAGCAAAGATTTTTATACTTTCTTAAAAAGCATCCATTTTTTTAGGTCAAAAATACAAAACTGACACAAAAACCTAGTTTTTAGGCTTGTATCATTCCCATTTGAAACCTGTGACTTGAAAATCTTCTGGGAGGATTTCTTAAAATCTGAGTTCTTGAAAATCTTTTGGGTGGATTTCTTAAAATCTGAGTTTAAAATCTTTTGGGTGGATGTTTAAAAATCTGAGTTATAGAAAGTAAGAAGCAGAAAGTCAGGATTCTCTCCTTTGGCACAGATGATATAAACATTTGAAAACATTTTCTGGATTTCAGATCATGTAAAAGCAGTTTCTTACTGATATATTTTCTTTTATTTTGTGCCCCAGAAATTTTCATTGGAATTTTTTTAACGCTTTGATTATTTTACTCCTCCTTTTAACATTTCTAAATATTTACTACCATAATCCAGGTTTTTGACAACTTGGTGTGCTAAGATGAATTGTGTATGATGCACTTCTTAGTCAAAGTAAGCTAAGTTCATTACAGCTGAAAAAAATTGTAGGAATTGTCAAAGTATAGAGAGAGAAGACCAAACATTAAATGGATCTTTGTTCTATCCTCTCGCATTCTGATAGCTTTTTACTTACTTTAAAAGTGTATTGATGAAGTTTAATAAAATTAAGATTTTGATATCTTAACGTGTTCTGAGTCTACTGGGTTAAACAAGTAATTTCTAAGTTAAAAAGCATTAGAGTTGTTGTTTCATAAATCTTGATTAAGTTTTATATACAAATATTCTTCCCAAAACTGAAAAAGTGAATGAAACTGACAACTGGATTGATAGACAAAAACTCATCCCCCACTTAAGGGGAATTTGAGATATTCCAAGCCTGCTTTAACAGTTTTAAATAATTTATCATAGTCTAAGAGACTTTCTACATCTCTTTGATGTAGGCATCAAAGAGATCTGAAGATGTCAATGTGTTCTACAGCCCATAAAGAATAACCATCGCCATTATCAAATCACCAGTAGGAAGTGGTAGGGAGCCTGGTGACCCGAGGCCAGTGTAATCACACCCTCAGATTGACATGGGAGTTCTGAGCCAGTCATCGGCTACCATCATGCTTATCCCTTATGTGCATACACTTTATGCAACGTTACCCATATTTCTGTCTTCCCGTTGTTCTTCCTGCACCTCTCAGCCAGCGAGTAGAGCTCCACGGTGGTTTCAGAGATGAGGTCCACGTTTTTGCCTTTCACAATGATCTGCATGACTCTTCCCTTGTTGATATGGGCATCAAAAGTGCTGTCCCAGGGTGGGTACATGGTAGGCTTTTTCTGGATATACATCTGCCCGTTCTCTAGGAACAGAAACGTAAGGTCTCATTATTCCTTCAGCCAGGCCTGGAAAATAATTCAGTTCAACTCAACAGTAGCACCTGCTCCCTCTGTTCTCTGGGATATAGAATTCTGTTGGGAAGACAAAAGTAGCACATAAACAATCAGAGACAATATGGGACAGAATGAGACAGTCCCCGGGTCCAGATGCAAGGTGATGCATTGAACCTTATAAGTCCAGCGTTGATAATTCAGACAACAATCTGCTAATGCCTTGGACTGGAAATTGTTACCAAAACACCAGGCATTCTAAGTTCTGCTGCTCACCGCACAGAAAGCCAATGACTGAGATGACGAGAATTGCCAAGGAAGAAGGCTTTAGTTGGGTGCTGCAGCCGAGGAGATGAGAGCTCAGTCTGAAGTCCATCTCCATGACCAACTAAAACTAGGGATTTATATAGCAGGGAAGAAATGTAACTTTGTATGAGAAAACAGGAACTTGGGAGGGGTAAGTAAGCAATCATGATGAACCAGGGGCCTGGCGCTTCAGTCTCTGGATGCCATGATCTGGTGAGTTTCAGTTCTTTAATATTTTTTTTGAGAGGTGTGGGGATCCTTTCTTGAGGAAGAAACTCAGATAAAACAAATGTAAATTCCAAGCTTTAAGATCAGAAGGGTCCATTTCTATAATCAGCCAAAAACAACTGTCTATGGGACTATTGGGTTGGTTTCAAAATGTTATTTTCCTATTCAACAGTTAGTTGCTTCACTCTGGGTTTAAACACCTGAGCAACAAACTTTTTAAAAAATCTTTTATGCCTTTGAGATTCTCCTTTATTAATCTGTAGTGTTGATCCTATGACTGATTAACCTCACTGGCCCCAGCTTAAACATAGTCAATACAAAACTACTGTGTGTTCATCTGAAAGACATAGTGGCGTAATTTCAGCGCATAATGAATGCTCCTTTAAGAAATATTTACATTTTTTTCCATTTGACATAAATACAGTAAGAGACAATGATCTTTAAAACATAATGAGCCATTATTTCCTTCTCTAATTCTTGGGTGAAGATACATTTTACATGTACCATGCACCCTCAGCAAAAGCTGATGAGCAAGTCAGAGAGGTGGTGCTGATCTTTACCCATGGAGCCAGCAAGGCTGAAGCCGACTGCCAGCCTGCAAGTGAGTAAAGGCAGGTAGGCAGGAGCCCTGGAAATAGTAACAAATCTGTAGACAGGAAGGTCAGTCTAGGGGAAACCTCCCTAAAGCCGCTCTGTGATTGGCAAAGAGTTTACTAATTAAGAAGTTTTTTCTTGTCTTTCACGCACATTGGATTTTCTCTGGTATTTATTCTTTAATCATTTCAGAAGCAGAAACCTGCATTTGAGTGTTTGTTTCTTGTGACATAAGCACATTAAGTGGCAGATTTAGCAATTCAGAGATGTCGATTAAGCAAAAGGGGAAAAATCTGCTTAAAGCCAGGAAATAAAGCCCTTCTAACTTTCGAGGGCCCCTTCTGTCCAACACACAAAGCTAAACAGAGCAGACATTTAGCATTTGTTAAATTAATATTTATTTCGGGGGTATACAAGGAGTTGAATAAGCTTGAAACTCAAATGTTAGATAAACTTGGCTAGGAAAGACATAAACCATGAGACTACTAAACGTGGAATAGAAAGGGGACATTTTTTGTGGGTTGGTAAAAAAAAAATTGGACTGGAGATTGGGCTTTTTAGAAACCAACGGCAATATTAATGATCACGGTAACATTTTACTTCCACAGACCTGAAGCTTCCCTTTCCGATACTTCCTTTTGATGGTAACCATTCTCTGTGCCTGGAGAAAAGGGCCAAAAATACCCTGAGAAGGGGCAAAAGTCCCCAAAGCAAGGCACTTTTTACATTTTCATTCGCCACGTTTGTAATCACCTAAACAGAGGGCCCTATCTATGTAGAGTGTTACCGTTTTAACGACTCACAACCCCGCAGCCCCGTAGCCTGTTTGTCCTTGTTCTGTTGGCTCATTGTGGAAAATGCAGCCTTACACCCCAAGAACTGAAATGTGTTTAAATCCTGTAGAAGTAAATATTGAATGATAATATTCAGAGTGATTTCTTTTCAGAACAAGCCCAAAATAAAATCAAAAGCAAAAATCTCTAAACTCCCTCCAACTCCACAGGCTAATATTTAGGAAAACCAGTTTCCTTCTTTTCTGACAAGGACTCTCGATCCACATGGCTCATTAGACCAAGTTCAAAGGCAAGGCCAAATGCAAAAAAAAAAAAAAAAAAAAGCCCTCAGGAAGCAAATGTCAGGGAGACCTGAGATGGTAAAGAGAACTGGATCCAGGAGACCCATTAAGTCAAAGGCGGCTTTGAAAAACTCAGACGTTTTACACTTCAAAGATGTCTGTGACATCTGAAAGGTTTTAGGTTGGGAGCAAGTGGCATTCACACTTTTAACTAAACAGGAGAGAACTCTGGGCAGAAAGGAAATCAAGATGATTCAGACAGTCTCTCTGGCTTTGATGTGTTCAGAGTGGCTGGAAGGACAAAGTCAGCTGTGAAGCAAAAAGGCTTTTGGTGGGGGATGCAAAATAGTAGGTTTGGGAACCCCAGAATCTGAACTCTGAGCATCTGGCAGGAGGTTCTCAAAGTCTGAGTCAGTTTCTTCTTGTATCTGCAAATGTCCCTCGCTCACAGGCCTTTGCAGGACAACCCTATATAAAATAACACACATCCCTGCCCCCAGTCCCTCTCTTCTTTACACTGCTTTTTGTTCCTTCATTACCTGCTGTTTGTATTTTTGTTTATTGCCACTTTCTTCTGCAAGAATAGATGCTCTAAAGGGAAGGCAGTCTTCCTGAGTTCCTTCAGCTTACTTGTTTGACTTTTTTTCCCTCTATGCTCTGGTCCCAGCACTCTTGCAGTGGTCTCTCCGTAAACACTTTTGTGTAAGTGAACTGTGATGGCTTCCATAGTTACTGCAAGCCTGCATCCATCATCATTATCATTCCCTACAAAGTGTCTGCTAAAATCAAAATGCACGTAGGGAAACAAGAAAAGGTGTGCAGTCAGGAGAGTTGTGGGATCTAAACTCCCTCCTACTTTTCCTTTGGAAATCCGTGGCAAACTTCCAATGCAGAGGTGAAGATCTTGGAGAGTGGAAGCCGGCCGACGTGACCACAGAGACATTCCCTACACATAAGACTGTTGGAATGGAACATTCTGAACCCACAAACAGGACGTTGGGTGGCTGTCCCACTTTCCCCCTCACCTTGAGCTGCCTGTATTTGAACTTGATGAAACATCACTATTCTTTCATTCAGCCAAGACCTTAGTGAGTGCAAAAGTACGTTTTCTGAAATTTGGATTCTAATGGCTAATTATAGATGCTTTGTAATATCCACTGAAGATTCGCCAAAGCAGCAGTAAGCAGTCTTTAGAGTTGGTTGGAAGATTATGCAGTCTTAATCTACCTAGACTTATTTAAAGTAACCAGGCTTAACCACATAGGGCTATGTTCTACTTCAGCTCATTAGAGTTCCTTCCCATTAACTCCTTATGTAATTTCCTCAACCCAGCTTTCTCTTTCCCTTTGTATATGTGGGAAAAATGATACAGTGCAATAGAGCACCGGTGGGCCATCGGGTCCTGGTTTAGAGTCCATCACGAAATGTGTGTCCATGAGGAAGTCCTTGGCTTTGCTGGGCATCAGCGTCCTAAATGGCAGGATTTGGTTCCACCAGATGATGTCAAATGTCCTGGAAGACCTTGCTTCATACACAGTTCATAGCAGGATTCTCCTCCTCCTCCCCCGCTTTGAAAATCCCCTCAAGCTTACCTGATTCGACATACTCTTTGACGAGCACAGCACAGTAAGGGTTAACAGCCTCGCCCTGACAAGACTGGCAGGACCCGCAGTCAAAGTTGGACAAGCCAATCCGAAGAAATGGCGACATGGTTGCGCCCTGGAAAAAGACAAAAGACAAACGCTGTTTGGGGGCTATAAAAGATATTATTTTTGGTGCCCCATGTCTACTTAACCAGTGCTTTATCATGGACAGCCAGAACCTCACATAGGTCCACTATCCATGTGAACAAATGTTTTCACTTCCCCTTCTGCAGAGGACACTGCTGGACTCACCCAAAACCACACACTGACTTGCTGAGGGGAGAGGCTTTCTGGAAGTCTGCACTCAACCTTGCTTTTGAGAAGTAACTCAAGAGTTAGTTCCATTCAACCTAATGGAGTTAGGCCCAATGGTTGGAGAGTGAGGCAAAAGTTTTCCAATATTTTATGTCTTCTGTTATTCAAGTAGGTGCCCAGGAAACAGCACACAGTAATCAGAAAATGAGTTTATATAGAGCGAGTCTATTTTAGTCACACTAGTTAAATATGACACCGCAAAATTCTTACATGGTCTATTTATGTGTGTAATGGGATTGGCCCAAGGCATTCGGCAGCTGATCCTTATTTACTCTGGACATTTTCAAAAAGGTCTGCTTTCTTCACAGTTACACACACACACACTCTAAGCCTTTGAACATCACAAACCACGTAGAAAACTCCAAACTAATTGACTACTATAAAATAGGGCTTTCTCATATAAGGATGAACAAAATACTTCATAAAAGCCCAAAAATCAGTAATTATGCTTTCCAAGAGGTTTAGATGATAGTTATCAAAGTGTTAGCTACAAATCCAGGAATCTAGTCTAATTCTTCATCTATTGTTCCATTATTGAGTGTTCTGGCCACTTATGTGAACTAGATACCTCTTCTTTTTTACCTACTTTTCCGAGGTCCCATTAATCTGAAACTATCATCTGATATTCAGCAAAAAAGTTACTTCCTTGCTCCGTCTCTCTTTTTGATGATTTATACTTATAATTTTTTCTAAGCTTTCATAAGTAAGCCAAAGATAAGAAACAAAGCATTGATTGTCTTTTCTGCCTTTGTATAAAGAAAGAAAACTATTTGAAATAATAAAGACCTGGAAGGAGAATCAGTAACATACCTGGAGATCTTGGGCCTGTAATACCTCATCTAGCTAAGACAAAAGGGATCTCCAGTATGCTAAATACCAGTGTTCTTTGACTCCACAAGAGAGACAAATTAGGAGCTTTTGACGGGCATTAATTTCACAGATATTAATGAAGTCCTAATTTCCTGCAGAGTTTGGAAGTTTTATCTAAAGGAGATGGTTGGGTAAACATCATGATTTGCTGGGTTCCGTATCTGTCACGTTGCTGAATTAGCAGGTAGATGACTTACAAATTTGTCTTTAGGAGGCGCCCTTTGCCCTGTGAGTTTAGAATTCCCAGGCAGGAGCGGGGCTAACAGCTGTGAGTTCTCTGGAGAGAGTTTCTTTGAGAATCCCTTCTTTCCTGGGCCAATTGGGTCTTTTAGACAAAACTTCATTTCTCCACAAATCAGGAAAAATCACTAAGAATCATCTTCAGTTACGGGAGTTTTTGCCCTGTTGGGACTTTCTGAAGATTTCCTTAATTCTGTTTGAGTCTAGAGGGATCACTAACTCACAAAGCCAGAGTTAAAGCACCCTGACCTTTTCTGGTGTCACCCTGCTATTCCCAGGGTGGGTTTCTAATCAGGCAACAGTAGCCCAGCAGGCGTCTGGGAAATGCTGCCCCAGGAAGAGAAGATGGAAACCTCCAGGGTGACCAGGGCTTCCATTACAGCAAGGAAGAGAGTTGGGGCAAAACCCTCTGTCCCCCTGAAGGTCTTCCTAGACAATGATTTCTTACTTAATAAGCAATGCAGATTAAACGGCCGTTTCACCAGATTCACTTGCACTATTCTGTAAAGGTCTGCTCACAGACCTTTAGAAATGTATGTCAGACATGACCTGACATACACCTGACATCTAGAAGACAGAATAGGTATTTGTGTGGTAATCTTCACACATCATTCAATAGAACCGCAAGCTCAGGTGTGAGTTTTTCAGGCAGATGGCAGCGTTTTACACCCGAACTACACAGAGTGCTTTTCTCTGTGTAGTTCAGAGCACTTTTTAGGTGATCATGATGAAAAATAAAGAAGACACACAAAGTTAGTAAAAAGTCTCTCCAGATTTCCACCAATAAAAGAAATCAGTTACTATTCTGATCTATTTTCCCTAGTCTTTTTAAATTAGCAAGT
The DNA here is from genome assembly GCF_000001405.40 of Homo sapiens. Lineage (NCBI taxonomy): Eukaryota > Metazoa > Chordata > Mammalia > Primates > Hominidae > Homo > Homo sapiens. The sequence continues at coordinate 6,517,336 of NC_000010.11, forward strand.
TTTGTGTTTTTTTTTTTCTTACATGCTATGATCATCCTGTGGGTATGGAATTATATTTGGCTTTTTAAGTTAACATTTTACTATAAAATTTTTTTCAAGTTTCTCTGACATTTTCTCAGGCTTCCTTGTCATTCTTGCATGACATCCTATTGACAGTAGCTCTACGATCTGCGTTACTAAAGTCTGTAGCTACATATTTAGTCTGTTTCCAACTTCTACATGCCAGAAAAAAATGCATCTTTAAGATAGCATCTTTTTTTTTTTTTTTTTTTTTTTTTTTTTTTTTTACAACCTTTCCCAGATTTAGGGATACTGCATCAGACTGGATCACCAGAGTATTACAATATTATTTATCAAGTGTTATTCCTATTGGTAAGGTCTTATACATTTAAAGAAAATAACCAAACTTAACAGTAAAGACCTACCCAGGGAAATAGCTATGGTTAGTGTAACAGAAGTAAGTAAACGCCATTCTTACATAATATGGGTATACAAATTTGTAAGAAAGGCACTGTTTATGACCCAAGAAAATAAATTGCAAAGGCACAAGCTATACAGGATACAAAAATCATAGTTCCAACTAATTGTGGAAAAATGTTTAGCCAGGTGAGCAATTTAAGACATGCAGAATAAGATACTATGTAATTGCATGTACCATTCCTGAAAAGACAAAACTATATGAAGAAAAACATCAGTGGTTGCCAGGAGTTGCAGCAGGGAGGAGCAGCATGAGCAAATTTTGGGGAAAGACAGAACTGTTCTCCGGCTTGATTGTTCTAGTGGTCACAGAAGTCTAGACTTAAATTCACAGAACTACACCAAGCCAAAAGTCAATTTTACTGTATGATAATTCAAAAACCAAAAGAAAAGAAATATATGCAATTGGTATTTTAAGGCATGTGTTATAAATACAGAGATTATAGAGGTAAAGTAAAAAGAATATATATGAAAAAGCTGCATATTAAATTAAAATCTTAAAGTAATCAAATTACTAAAGGGAAATGATCAGATCTTTTAAAAAATTAAAATAGCTTTGGTTCTGTGGTATTTAAGCTCTTTTGAACATTTGCAGTTAGGCAAACACAGCTGAGAATAAAATAACATTAGAAATTAATAATGCATTTTATTTGAGGAAAAATTAACATTTTAAGTCCTAATTTAAGCTGTAAAAAGAATTATAATATTTAAAATATATAATAAAATAGTCTGGGCATGGTGGCTCACGCCTGTAATCCCAGCACTTTGGGAAGCCAAGGCGAGGAGATCACTTGAGGTCAGGAGTTCCAGACCATCCTGGCCAACATGGTGAAACCCCCTCTCTACAAAAATACAGCAATTAGCCAGGCATGGTGGGGGGCACCTGTAATCCCAGCGACTCTGGAGGCTGAGGCAGGGGAATCGCTTTGCTCCCTGCAGAGGTTGCAGAGAGCCAAGATCATGTCATTGCACTCCAGCCTAGGCAACAGAGCAAGACTCTGTCTTAAAAAAAGAAAAGAAAAGAAAAGAAAAATATATAATAAAAACAATAATATGTTTTTGCCCATGCAATTATCAAATATTTTTGAAATGCTATTACTTAATGTTGGTAAGGACAAAATGAATCATACACTTTCATACAATGCTGCTGGGTATGTAAATTACCACATTTAACAGATATACACACCTGTGTATATGTAAGTATATATGTGTGTGTTTATGTATGTATATGTGTGGATGTAAAAATATGCGTATCTATCCATCTATATTAAGAGCCAAGAAGATGTGTAATGAATACACAAGAAAGAAATTAACATAAAAGATTTTCATGGGTTGCCTTTTGGTGTTCGGAGCAGATAGTAGGGGGAAGGGGATTTCCCTGGGTGTTTAACCAGAAATGAGAGTTTCTGTAGACAAAAATATGTGCTGGAATAGCCTGCCTCAGGACTAAGCTGTGTGATCTGTCCTCTGTGCACTCTAAATTTCAGTCGGTCTCATCTTCACTCTCCATTCACGTGTGATCTGAGAGACCAAGACAGTTGCCCCTTCATCAGCTAAGATGGATTCTAAGGTTAAAGAAACAAAAGTTACCCAGGGGTCGAGGATTCAGGGCTTGGCTGGCATCACAACCTCCTAAATTCCTACAGCTACAGGAAAAGCCACACCCTTGTTAGTCTCCCTAATAACAAGAATAATCAGGCGAAGTTTGAGACTCTTCCTAACTCTGATTTACAACCCAGACCCCTGCAACTCTGATTGGACAGGGAACCAGGCTTCCAGGCATTCTTTCCCGATAAGCAAATGCAGACCCCAAGCCAGTTTCAGCAGCTTACAGGTGCTGCACACTAAATGTCATTGTGTCCTATCATTTGCCTTTTGATGTAAAGAGCCAAATTTAGGATCTAATTTTAATGCTACAACTGTGCCCCAAAGTGAACATGGGATGTATGTTGGACATATGTTTACCCCTGGCACCTGCACTTAACTCCCCTCATAAATATGTATAGATTTTTCCCCAAAGCTTTCTGAATATATCTGACTCTATTGTGTAATATGGAACCTGGGAGGCATAAAACCAGCCTGCACTTTCCCTCTTTGAAGAGAGAGCACCTTCCATACACGCCAAAGACTGTCTCTTCCCGGTGTGCAAACTGATATTGCCAATAAAGTTCTTTTCTACTGTTCAGCCATCCTGGTGGTCTATTGTGTAACACATGGTAGTCTCATACTTTATGACAACAATCTATGCACAAGAAGACTGACTGGCCAGGCTGTTCCGAACAAGGCAGGGGCTAGGTCCCCCCATAGACCCCTTGTCTGAGCAATAAAGTCACGCATTCGACTCTCTCCTGGAAATCTCCAAGGGGACCCCAAACTCACCAGGTCCCATACAGAACTCCCTGCCTTCCCTTTCAAACTTGCCTTTTCCTTCATTTTGCCAGCTCGGTGCTGGGTGCCGCGACGCCCGGCCCTCACCCGCTGCTTCAACTTTACCCTTCCCCTTGTGCCTCACGACCCACTTGCTTCATCTCCTGCTCCACCGATTCTGCACCACCTCTCTTGTGACTCACAGCAGCTTCTTACCCTGCCTCCTCTGTCCAGCCTTGGTCACCTCTCAGTCTCCATCCAATCTCCATGCTCCAGCCTGAATGATCTTAGGATCTTGCAAAACTGCTGCTGTTTCTCCAATGTGCCATGTGTTTCACAGCTTCAGCCTTCTAGGAAAGCTGCAACCTCTCCCTGGAACGCCTCCCTGTTTCACTCCATCCTCCCTGCCCCCTTCCTCATCTTTCAAGTTCCTGTTCAGTCTCTAGCTCCTCTTGGAAGCCTTCCTTCCCCTCCTCTAGAGCCCTCCCATCAACACATCTCCATGGGAAGTTCTCAGCCCTGGCTCCTGCAGTTCTCTGAGTGCACTGCTAGACAGCACCTGTCATATTGATTTGCGTCACACCTGCCATTTCTACAGTCCGAGTGGGGTTGATCCTGTGGCTCCCAGCTCTCAGCCCTCTAATGTGGGGACTTATAGAGCCCCACCAGGATGTCGCCTACTTGATTCTTGAGATGCTACATACACTCAGAAGAGGGGTTTGACTCCAACTACACAATTCTCTCTGGTCTCATCTGCAATACATTCAGCAAAAACTCCTCAGAACGAGTGCATTTGGGTGCCTTACTTCCCTCATCCCCAGTGAAGATAAACAATTTCCCTTTGTGATCACATTCCTTTGGAGATGTGGTCAGCTTGTGGGATAGGGGAAGAGACAGAGTGCCAGCGCCCATGCTGCTGTATTTCCCTACAATGTGCAGTTGGATTTATGGGTTCACGTCTGTCTTCCTCAACAATTCCGAGAGAAGGGGCCATGACTTCATCATCTATGTGCCTCCAGAGCTGATCCCCCTGTCTGATATATGCTAGAGACTCTGCATTTTTGCTTAGGGAGTTCATTTTCAAAAGCAACATTTTACCAAATCTCTTCATCTCATGCATTTGTTTTACTTGCAAGAGAATACAATGGTCAAATTAAGTGACAGACAATTACAGAGGGAGTCAAGAGCAAAGGATTCAGCCCAGCACTTGTTGTAAACAAAAGATCGATGCCCTCATACACTGAACTGCTGGAGTTATTTAAACTCTCTAAGCCTGCTTTCTCATTTGGAAATCACTGATAATACTATTACTCATCCCAAAGAGCCATGAGGATTAAATGGGCAAATACACACAAGGTGCTTAGAATGGGGCTGGCTCAAAGTAAATGCTCAATAAATGTTAGTTATTATTATTACAACTCTGATATATTTTCTAATGGGCCTTCTCAACTTCATTGGTGTGTACCAAAAAGAGCAGGAGGAAAGTAGAAATAGTCTTTCAGGAGCATATCTGGGTTAAATTATGTGACCTTCCTCTGCACTCTGCTACGGAGCTCCCACAAAACCCTCCATCTATCTCTTGCAGAGCACTTACTACCCTCTGATGTCCTCATCTGGATGCAGTCATTATCATGATGGATATCAGGTATGTCCATCCAATCTTCCAAGCTTTTGCTACCCCAGCTGCAAAACACCATCATGATATGTACTATGTTATGTTATGTGATGTTATGTTATGTTATGTTATTTATTTATTTATTTATTTATTTATTTATTTTTTTGAGACGGAGTCTCGCCCTGTTGCCCAGGCTGGAGTGCAATGGCACGATCTTGGCTCACTGCAACCTTTGCCTCCTGGGTTCAAGCGATTCTTCTGCCTCAACCTCCCGAGTAGCGGGATTACAGGTGCGTGCCACCACGCCCGGCTAAGTTTTGTATTTTTAGTAGAGACTGGGTTTCACCATGCTGGCTAGGCTGGTCTTGAACTCCTGACCTCAGGTGATCCATCCGCCTTGGCCTCCCAAAGTGCCGGGATTACAAGAGTGAGCCATCGCGCCCGGCCCCTATGTACTTTAAAATTACAAAGGATCTTTACTCTTAGAGGCTCACTATTTTCAGCTTTAAGTGTGATCTCATTTGTCTTTTGTGTGTAGCTTCGATGCAGGTACATGATCAAGTATAATTGCTCAGTGCTTTAGGTCACACGCTATTATGTACTGAACTGAGAATTCTGGTCTTTTGATTCTCTGGACACTGACTCACCTATTTAGCTAGGCTGATTCACCCTCCACAATTCAAACTCCCAGAATGCGTTTATAGAGATGCTGAGGATGTCCACATAACTGAACCTGATGGGGACAAATTCCATATAAATAGAAAGCAATAGAAGTATAATATACTCTCATCAATTGAAAAAAATATCAAGCATTCTCTTCCTCAGTAGCAAATGAAATAAGAAATAGCAAACTTCTTCATTTAATAAAATGTTTGGACAGCATTTGTATTACTATAATTTAGTGGGAGATGGCTCAGTGTTGGGGGAGAGTCTCACAGAATTAAAATAACAATAGTCATCACTTGTATCAAAACCTCTCACATGTGGAAGAAAGAACACAGATTAATCAATAGTAAATCTGGGAATGAGAAACAAAGCATTCAATGGTTTCCAATTACATCTGCTCAGCCAAATTTGGTAAACATCAATTCAGAAAAATTTTGGCAAATTAAGCTACACCAATAGCTTTTGCATTTCTTTATGAGATAGAAAGATTTCTTAGGTAAAAGTGACTGCTGTTAAAAGAAACATAAAAAAAAACTTTTTCACAATGTGCACAGAAGAAAGATGATAACTAGTAAAAAAAAAATCACATAGTTGGGTAGCGTTTTGCTTTGTTGCTAAGACTTCTACTAAGTAGTATAATAAAGAGATTAAATATTAGCTTTCACCAACAAAAATGATCTCAAAAGTGAATTAAAATAGTAAGTATGGGCCAGGTGCAGTAGCTTATGCCTGTAATCCCAGCACTTTGGGAGGTTGAGGTGGGAGGATCACTTGAGCCTAGGAGTTTGAGACCAGCCTCAGGAACAATGCAAGACCCTGTCTCTATTTTTTCTTTTTTTAATTAGCTGGGCATGGTGGCACACACCTATAGTTCCGGCTACTCGGGAGGCCAAAGTGGAAGGATCACTTGAGCCCAGGATGTCGAGGCTGCAGTGAGCTGTGATTGCACCACTGTACTCCAGCCTGGGCGACAAAGCAAGACCCTTTTCAAAATAATGATAATAATAATAAAGTATAAATTGAAGATAATATTTTAAAATAACCCCTACAATACAGTGACAAAGGAAACCGAAGGCTAACAGTCAACCCTCAGTCAGAACTAGAGATGAAGGAGGCTTCGTGGACAGACCAAGTGTTGCCCTCCTGCCTGCCAACATTAACAACACTCTGCACTTTCCCCCAAAAAACCAACAATAGTGTTGAAGTTAAACCTTGAAATATAGAAAATAAAACACCTGGGATGACATTATTAATCTTCTGACACAAATTTTAATAGGTTACATGAATAGATAGTCCCACTAAGGCATAGCCCTGGTCAAGTTACACTGTTACTTAAGAAAGCTGTCCCAGTGTTTGTTGAGTTAAAGCCTAATTCTTAACCTGTTATTTAAAAGCCTCCGTGTATTGAGTTCAAGTTGCCCCCTTCACACAGCACGACTCTCAGTGGAGTCCCAGCTTCTTAACCTGTTATTAAAAAGCCTCCGTTTATTGGGTTCAAGTTGCCTCCTTCACACAGCACGACTCTCAGCGGAGTCCCAGCCTGCCTGGACTTCTCTCGATTTGCTGAAGGTTCCCTGAATATCTGTCTCTATGGCTCTGTTCACGCCATTCCTTCTGTTTCTGAGCTCTGCCATCTCCACCCAAGCACAATTACCATCTTTCAAAATCTTTCTCATGCTTCATGAGGTCCTTAAAAAATCCTATGAGAAAGAGTGGGTGTTACTAGTTACTCACCTAATAATATTAAAAATAGTCATCACATTAATTATTGTAATGAACTCTCATAGACACTTTGACTTATGTTATCTCCATAAACCCTTCCAGTAGCTGTCAGGTGGACAGGACAACTATGGTAGTTATCTCCATCTTATTAATTTATAGATTTTATGGCTGGGGCTCAGCAAGTTTAGGTGACTTGCCTATGGTTACAAAGTGCTTGGAGGGCCTGAATTCAAACTCAGGCCTCAGATTTCAGTCCCTTTCCACAGCATCCTACCACCTGCCACATCTACCGTCTTCAGCCGTATTCCAAGCGCATGTCTGCCATGCTTTCTTCTTACCTACTTTTCACTTTCATTTTTCTCCTTCCAGAATCTATAGAATTAATAGCTCAGATGGGGACAGGTACGGGTAGACTTTCTCCTAGATGAGAAAGGTCCCCTCTTACAGGACAGAGCTCTCACCAAAGCGACATACAAATAAAATAACTTCTGATGTTGAATATGAACTTTTCTCCTTCAGCTCAGGGTGCTGCCACCAGTACTGATGTGAAGAAGGGAGAAAAGTGGGTGAGGAGGGAGGAGGGAGGAGGGTAGTGGGCCAAGGTCTGTGAGTCTCACCAAGTCTGGATCCTCGGGCCCCAGCTGGCCCACCTCCCTCTGTGCTTCCAGTCTCTGTGAGGTGCCTCCTGGCTGCAGCGGGCAGGCTCTCACTGATGTAGGACACAGCCTTGCCATCCACCACGGAGTTCAGCCAGTCATAGAAATACTGTTTAAAAAGGGGTTAGGCTTTCCATCAGCTTTTAGCCCACATTACAGCTGAACTACCAGGCATGTGCTAGGTGACTGTTGCCCACCGTGGAAATCTGTCATGCATAACAGGATTCCTACATTTTCAGAGTCCCAACAACTAATGACTTTAAAATTATTGAAGTCACTTTTGAAATGACTATGGATTTATTTTAAGTTCTTT